>NC_000004.12:95285017-95588047 GCF_000001405.40 Homo sapiens
GCAAAAGCATCTCCCTGTGTTAGCTAAGCAGGCAGGTTGTGGATACTATTGCCTTGAAGAAGATAAGCATGTTTTATTCTAATTTAAAAATGATTTACATTTATTAAATATTTATTATCTCACCAAAGGTACTTCATTATGCAGAAAGATTTATTTATTAGAATAAAATATTTTTTTCTATCCATCGTTAAGCACATAATAACTTTTTTTAAGAAAACAAAATATTGGTGATGTGATAGACTGATATTATGAAGCAAGTAATTCTTCAATGGGTATACTTCAATAGACTATTCTAGTGGAAATCTAAATCCTTAAATTCCACAGAATGATAAGACATAAATGATATGTTACATTATTACTGTTGTTCTTTTTTTAGACTTCATCAGGTTTTGTGAATATTAAAATAGATATTGAATCTGAAAAGTTTGGAAAATTATAAAGCACAACGTATGTAATAAATTATTATAATTACATTTATTATTACTCAGAGAGTTCTGAAATGAAAGGTGATTACTCATCTGCATAAATTTTGTACACATAATTCTCACACACACTTTGGCCATAAGGTCCATAAACTATAGTATCTAATATTCCTTATTGTTCTTATGGAATTTCAGGTTTATTGCTGTTTTTCAAACTGAGTGTTATGACCCTTGAGAGGGTTACAACATCTATTCAGTGGATTAAAACCCAGCATTAAAAAGTGTGAAACTGAATGAACAGAAGTTATCAAGATATACATAGTCTTATAGATGTGTTTGTGTATATACACTCATATGTTTCTGTGTGTAAGGATGCGGGTATGTGTCTAGTGGATCATGATATCAACCTATTTTTTATTGTAAGTCAAAAAGGTCTGAAAACCACTGGGTAGGCTAACACTGTGGCTGAGAACAAGGTTTTGGCATACAAAACCCTGGGTTTAGGTCCTGACCCTACCACTTGACTATCCATTTGACCTTAAGCACATTGCTTAACCTCTTCCTGCCTTAGTTTCATCAGCTTATAAATGGGTATAATTTCACAGGGTTATATAGGAAAGGTCACCTATAAAATTCTAAGCACATGCCTAGCATATAGTAAGTGCCCAAAAGATAATAATCCCCCACTCTACTTTTTCCCCGAAGTATTAATAAATTTTATTAGGCTATACATCTACTGTTATCACTACTAATCAAAATAAACATAACCAAGTGAGACAAAGCAATTGGGAGGGCTAATAATTGAAGGTGATGTTTCATAAAGAGATATGCAGGTATTACCCTGCTGTGCTTGATTAAACTGCAGATTCCACACTCAGGTTGGGCCCTGGGAATCTACAGTTTTAACAAACTCCACAGGTGTGTTTTCTGCATAACACTAAAATCTGAGAAGCACTGGTTGATGAATTGATTCGTTGATTATGGAACACCAAGTTACGCATGGCACTGTGGGCACTGTAGGAGGCTGTGGGGAGCCATGCAGATCTGCTTCTGCACGGTGGCTCTAAATGCCTGCTTTACTGGGTCCGTGTTGGTGTGTCCACAGAGTCCCAGAGCTCACTTTTGTACCAGCTGATGGCTGACATTGTCTAGCACAGGACTTGAGTTTCATATGTCTCCAGGGGCCATTCAGGTAACAAATGGGAGAAAGCTAGGCATAAGATTTTTTTTCTTGAAACATGACACCTACCTGGGTTGTCTTTTGTTTCTAACTTTTAATGGAGATGTGGGTACAAAACCAATCAATCAGCTTCCTCTTTACTCTCGTTACTTAGCTCCGGCTGCATGGTGCCAATAGGAATGCAGGCTCAATGGGCCACAGACCCCAAATCTGATGACTAACAGAAGTTGGTAATATGGAGTTTTATGAGATTTTTTTTTCTAACTGTATATGTTGTCAGCTACTTAAAACTTTATCAAAATACTTGTGTGGGCCAACATTTTGAGGACTAAACCAAAAAAGTGGGATGCCATATTGCACCTGTGGACTGCTACTTTGAGACCAATGGTCCAGATAGTTCAATGCTGAAAGTGTCAAGTTACCTTAATGTTTCTTGTGGCCTCTCTCTCACCTCAAGAGAAAATCCCCAGAGCCTTTTGCTTCTGACTGTCAGACACTTAACCAAGAAAGCCAACAAGAGATGTTGGTGAGTAAAGCTGTTTTTGTTAGTAGGATTGCATACATAACATTTCATAAATTCATATTTTATAATTATTCACTTATACTCCTTTACCTACTTTCAGAAGGAATGTTAGGCCATAAATGTGGGCACTTCAGAAGATTAGCTGACATTTTTAATAAATGTAAACCAATAGCACCTGAGTTAGGAAAAGAAAAAGCTTCTTGATGGCTGAAAAGACACTTTGCAGTCATTTCTGTAATTCTTGATGATTACTTAGAATAAAAATGTCTCTACATTCTTTTCGGAACCAATGTTGTCATTTCTACAATTGCTTTGAAGAAAAACCTGAAGCTCTTTCAGGTATAGCAGGAAACAGTTAAGAGTGGTTATGATCTGAATTATTGTTCTTTAGAGTAGGAATGGCAAATATTTGGAACCACTACATTCCCTTCCAGCTCGTGTGTCTATACCTAACTGACCACGATATTCTTTTCTCCAGAGTCTGGATTTAGCTTCAGGATCTGCTCCAACACAGGACTCTGGGAGGCCACAGCGGAGCAGGGATTAACAGGCAAGATGCAATGAATCTGCATCCTCAGCCTAGAGTTCACTGCACAGAAACTCCTGATATGCAATGTGCCTGCACAGTTATGGCCATGTTTTTATCCGATATCATGTCACTGCTTAGTTTTACTTCAAAAAACAAACTTAATCCCAGCCTTGAATGCTACATATTAAAATTTAAAAAATACTTTGAGATCAAATAAATCTTGGTGCTTGGTGCTGGGTATATAGCAGTGCCTTAGTAAATGCTGAGTTAAATTCAGTTCCCAAAATAATCTGGCAATTCCCTTTACTGAAGGCCTGGAAACAATTTCCCTTATGATATATAACTATAAAATGTCTTACAAGTCACATAGTCCAACCCCCTCACTTTACAGATTATTTATTTATTTATTTATTTATTTATTTATTTTTTGAGAGGGAGTCTCGCTCTGTCACCCAGGCTGGAGTGCAGTGGCGCGACCTCTGCTCACTGAAAACTCTGCCTCCTGGTTTCACACCATTCTCCTGCCTCAGCCTCCCGAGTAGCTGGGACTACAGGCACCCGCCACCATGCCTGGCTAATTTTTTTGTATTTTTAGTAGAGACGGGGTTTCACCGTGCCAGCCAGGATGGTCTTGATCTCCTGACCTTGTGATCCGCCTGCCTCAGCCTCCCAAACTGCTGGGATTACAGGCGTGAGCCACCGTGCCCAGCACTTTACAGATTATATAACTAGAACTGTGAGAGGCTAACTCACTCATTCAAGCTCACCAGCTATTTAGAAGTGGATTACTCCATGATGTGAATTTGCTGGAAAATGGATGCCGCGTAGCAGCTGTATTTGTTTCCAGTGGAAATTTCCACAAACTTCCTGGCTTAAAACAACAGAAATATATTCACTTGTAGTTCTAAAGGCCAAATAATTGAAATCAGTTTCACTGAGCCATAATCAAAGGGACAGCAGGATTATGCGCTCCCTCTGGAGTTTCTTAGGGAGAGACCATGACTTGCCTCTCCCAGATTCCAGTGGCTGATGGCATTCCTTGGCTTGTGGCTACATCCCTCTAATCTCTACCTCTGTGGTTACACTGCATTCTCTTCTTCAATCTGTGTCAATCTCCCTTTGTCTTTCTCTTACAAGGCATTTGTGATGACCTTTAAAGCCCACCTGGGCAATGTCAGAAAATCTCTCCATCTCAAGATTCTTAACCAAATCTGCAAAGATCCTTTTTCCACATAAGGTTAATATTTACAAATTCCAGAGATTAGGACCTGATGCCTTTGGGGGTCATTATCTATCCTGCTGTGGTGGTTACAAGCATGGAGCCTGGATCTGCTCTGCCATAGTTTAATCCTAGTTCTGTACTTACTGAGGTTGCTATGTTTTCATTTCTTCATCCATAAAATGAAGATAATTCTATTACATATTGTATAGGATTACTGTGATGATTTTAAAAGGTAATATAAATAGCACACTTAGGACAGTGCAGTTACATAAAGAGTCCTCTGTCAATGTACTCATTTACATACCCACTTCCTCCAGCCCCTAAATCAGCATTGCTGTCAAGTGTTCACAGAGTTGATGGTTGTACTGATATTTATTTCTTTAAATTTTACTAAGAAGCCAAACTCCAAATATCAGAAATAAGCTTCTTGCTTCCCAAATTGAACTGGTCTTGACAAAAAGGCCCTCGATCTGTGGAAATTCTGTACTTAGAAGAGCTTCATGTTGTTATCTGCTGCTGGCCAGCTTACTCACTTTCTGACCTAGGCCTGACCCTGCATTAAGCAAATACAGCTGCTGTACTATGATTCACATTTTCATATTTTCAGGTGCTTTTCAGTTAATTCTTTTTACACACTCACTGAACAATGGTGTTGAACACATTCTAATATTTTTTTAAAAAAAGCTGTTTTAATATATTTTCAAAGTGCTCCTCTAGCAAATGATTTCATGGTCACTCAAAGTAATAATACTGTGTTCTTAAAGGGAAAAAAATGTATCTTTCTTCCAATAATGATGGAAAGTGCTAATTATGTTGTCATAGCAGACTAGAATTTATGCTTAAATCACCAAATCTGGCTGTTAACAGGAAATAACTGCTGTGAACCAAACAGTGAAGCATATTTTGGAAGAACTAGATTGGCCTTCAGAGCTTTGGGCATTTATTAAAAGTGAAAAATGCCTGACTTAATGCCATAGAGCCCTGAAATGTTAGCTATGGTTTTCTTTTCCAGGAATAGAGTATCTGATTTTTGCTGGAATTTTTAAAAATAAAGAAAAATATTATTATGCTAAGCAACTCTTATTGTGGTTTGTAAATATAAAGGTTATAGAATATTTTAAAAATTGAAGCTCGGTGCAGTGGCTCATACCTATAATCCCAGAACTTTGAGAGGCCAAGATTGGGGATCGCTTGAGGCCAGGGAGTTTGGAATCAACCTGAGCAACAAAGTGAGAACCCCCATCTCTACAAAAAATAGAAAAACTAGCAGAGTATGGTAGTAGGTATCTGTAGTCCCAGATACTAGGGAGGCTGAGGTGGGAGGATCGCTTGAGCCCAAGAAAGTTAAGGGTGCAGTGAACTATGCTCATGCCACTGCAGTCCAGTTTGGATGACAAGCAAGACCCTGTCTCTGAAAAAACAAATTAAAGAAATAAAAAGTTTGGTGGTGTTTTTTTTTTTTTAACTTATCTTTCCTTCTCAAATATTGTAAACAATAAAACAAACAAAAATCAACTATATGCAGTTCCCTCTATAGTTTGAAAAGTCAAGAATGGTTGTATGTTTTTTGCAACTGTGTGCAATGAACTGGACTGCAAAGAGAAAAGTTTGTTTAAAATTCAGATTCAGTGTTTCCTAAACAGGTGACATGGGCAAGTTAGCTAATATTTCCATGATTCTGTTTTGTTATTTACAAAATGAAGATAACAGAACTTACTTCATAGGATGTCGTATGAAGATTATGATAGTTAACATGAACAAGGGTCTTATAACAGAGTTAGGCATACAGTAAGCATATAATAAATGTTGGCTACTAGGACAGAGACTAAAGAAGAAAGAATAAGGACAATCGACTTTGATTTTTTTCCTGTTGTTTTATAACCGCATTTTGCTTTTGTAAGGGGTAAAGTTTTCGTTCTCTCTTAGGAATTTACCACAAACACTTTCATAATATCATAACTCATAACCAGGAAGAGCGGTTAGAATGATCTGCAGCAAGTCAGCAGAAAGGTAAGCTTGGTAATTTCTTCAGTCGTGCCAAGCCCTGGCTATCACTTACTGCACTGAGATCATTTAAATGAGAGAAATTCCAGGGAACAAAGACTCTTTAGAAGGGAGGACAATTTCAGCCATTCTTCGTTATTTCTTGACTTTTGGGCATTTATAGGACAAACACATTTGTATTCAGATAGTCTTGTTAAAGAGTTTTTTAAAAAAATAAATATTTCAGCTAGCACTCCAAATGACATCCACTACAGAAAAGAGGAAGAAAAAAAATCCATACAAGCCACTCTTTTATATTCAAAATGCATCTTTAGTTTCAGAAAAAAAATGATTATATGTCATCACAGTATTTTTTAAGGTATGTCTTAGGGATAAATAATAAGAAATATGCCAACTTTATGGATGAGGAAACTGACATACCAAAAAGCTAAGGCTCTTTTCTCAGAGTACAAAAAAAAGAATGCAATGATTGCAGACAAGCTGTTTTCTTGCAAATAAGCATTTTAGCCATAAACTTCACTTTTCATACAGCATAAAACATACTTTAATAACACATTTTTGTCCAGTGTGTTACCAGCCCTGCCTATAACATACGTATAGATGATTTCCCCCAAAATATGACTTATGAGACTGTGTTCTATGAATTCGTTGTCTACCTCTCAGAATAAATATGAGCTATAAATGCCTAAGAATTTGTGGGGCATCCATGAAACTTGGGAACTTCTGACCATCTACAAAAGCAAATATGTTTGAAAAAATATAGACTGACACAATCAGGTATACATTATAATATTTAATCTTGAAATAGGAATAACCTGATAATACAACTGTCAAGATTTATATAAAACAAGAGTATTAATTAATTTATTGTTTAAATATTTTTCCCTTATCTAAAAATGTCTAAAGTATATATTTAATCTTATCCAATTCAAAATATGGCCTCTGTTACTTATAATTGGATTAATGTGGGCTTTAATGGTTGTTATACAAGGTATCATACTACAACTCAGAAATGTACCTTAGTAAAAATGCCATTTATTCTGGTGTACAGGGGAGCCTGCTGAATCCTGCCAGTACATTTGGTGTTAGGCTACTAGAACTGTTTATAGTATGACCTTCATCTTTCAGGATGCTTGTTTAAAGAAATGCATTATTTTTGTTAAATTGTATAATTAATTTTGTTTTATGCCAAGTAGAGTAGACAGGTAGAAAATAAAAAAGTAACACATAAGGCCACAAATCAGGACTTCTGTACATGTGAACCAATATAATAATTCATGAGATTACATATATATATACACATATATATACATATATATACACACACACACACACACACATATATATATATATATATATATATATATATAAATTTTTTTTGTTTTTTTTTGAGATGGAGTCTTGCTCTGTCACCCAGGCTGGAGTGCAGTAGTGCGATCTCAGCTCACCGCAAGCTCTGCCTCCCAGGTTCACGCCATTCTCCTGCTTCAGCCTCCCGGAGATTACATATATATTTAACTGGAGATACTTAAATACAGAAATGTCAATTCATTCATTCCTTTATGATATTTCTTGAGTCCCTACATTGTGACAGGAATCACCCTAGGCGTTTTGAATTAATCAGTGAAAAAACCAAACCCAAATCTTTGCCTATGTGGACCTTACTTTCTAAGGGGGTGAGGGGGTACAGAATACAAACCATTAACTAATAAATAAGTAAATGTATGATGGTTTAGAAGGTGAGAAGTGCTATGCAGAAACGTAATAAGTACAAGAGTGTAGAGGCAATTACGTCCAGCTACCTGATGTTCTTGAATTCCTTGGGGAAAAAAAGTATTTTTATTAAATGAACAAATGATTCACATTGAATAGTATCTTCACTTTTCCCCATCATGTACTTTCAATTTAATTCAATTTTATTTCATTTTTTTATGTTTTAATTTATTTATCAGCAGCCACAGGCAAGGGACGTCTTCTAGGCACTGGAGACAACAAGGAAGAAAAGAAAGTCTCTGTCCTTGTGAAGCTTACATTCTGGTATGGCAGATGGTTAACTCAAAAGAAAACAAATAATGATGAAGAAAAATGTTATGGAGAACAATAAAGCAGGATTAGGATTAGGCAAGTGACAGGGTTGAGGCCCGGATAGACAGACCCCTCTATAGGAGTGACATCTCAGTATAAATCTGAATGAAAGAAGAAAGTAAGCCAGTTTTAGACTTGGGGTAAGAATGTTTCAAGTGAGAAGAAACAGTTCTTGCAAGCAGCCTATATGTGGAATGAATCTATTGCATTCTGGAAACAAGGAAATGGATGTGGTTAGAGCAGACAAAGCAATAAGAAGAGAGGCAGGAAGCCAAGGTCTGTTTATGTTTCTGTATTATAAATAATAGTGAGCTTTTTTTTTTTTTTTTTTTTTTTTTTTGAGACAGGATCTCACTGTCACCCAGGCTGGAGTACAGTGGTGTGATCATGGCTCACTGCAGCCTTGACCTCCTGAGCTCAAGGGATCCTCCTGCCTCAGCCTTCTGGGCTGACAGTAGTATCCCAGCTGGGATCACAGGTGCACACCACCACACTTGGTTAATTTTTTTTGGCTTTTATTAGAGACAAGGTCTTGCTATGTTGCCCAGGCTGGTCTCAAACCCCTATGTGCAAGTGATCCTCCCACCTTGGCCTCCCAAGGTGCTGGGATTACAACGTAAGACATTGCACCAGTTATAAACATTATGCATGTAGAGAATAAGATGTTTTTGTGAATTGCCAGCTGATCTACAAATCCTTGTCTCCTCCTCCCTTCTTTGTACCCAGTGTACTGGTTAAACACATGGACTTGGATGCTGGCCTGACTCACTGCTCCATATACCACCTGTATAACCTCAGGCGATTTTTAATCTCCCGTTGCTCTCAATTTCCTTGTCTATAAAATGGGAATAATAATAACACTCATCACATAGAGTCCTTGCAAAGACTGAATGATCTAATACATAATACATGATTGAAACAGCACTTCCATTATTATCAGTATTATTATTCTGGAGCCTATCTGTCCAATGCAAACCACATGAGGCTTTCAAGCACTTGACCTGTAGCTGGTCATAACTGAAGCTATTGTAAGGGTACACACACTAGCTCTGAAAAACCAGTATGACAAAAAGAAAGAAAAGTATTTCATAAATACTTGTTGATATTGGTAATACTGTTGAAATGATAGTTTAGACATACTGGACTCAGTGAAATACATGACCGAAATAATTTTATCTGTTTCTTTTTAAATTGTGGCTACTAGAAAAGTGTAAACAGTATTTGTGGCTGGCATATTTCTATTGGACGCTGCTGTTTTAGACAGTGTGCTGGATACTATAGACTCACGAATATGAACAAGACTTGATCCAAATCCACAGGTGGGTCACAAATGTAGTTATTCTCTCAGTGAAAATGATGAGTGAGCTGTGAGAGGAAGCCAGGAGGGGCCACCTTGATCATCCTTAATTCTTTCTAGGAACTACCTTATTCCTCTTTGTGGCCAGCAGGCTTTGTGATGCTGGCTGTGATTTATTGGTTTGCACACACGATCGAGAGGAAATCCGGAGGAGCCATCCTGCTGTTCCCCGGAAGATGAATCTTGGGTGCATGTAAATCCCATTATAGCTCATGACTGTAGGATAAGGGTGACCATATGGCATGTTCTTCCATCCTCAGGCATGGGCAGAAGGGGTTGGAAATTACAGTCAAATTTTATGTGAATCAGCAGAGAATTTCAACCTCTAGGATTGACAGTCTAGCCCTGGGACATGAAATGGTAAAGGAAAGACAGACTTTTCAGTTTTCAAAGTTTGCTCAGTATTGATGTTTCAAAATAAACATATAAAGTTGTTTAAAATGGTTATATCCATTTTTATGAACACCTATTATCATTCGCTGAGCATTTGCACTGTGTCTGGCACTATGTCATATGTTTTACAAGTTTATCTCATTTAATCTTAAAATAACTCTTTTTCATGCTATGGTTGATGAAACTAAGGCTCCCAGAGGTCAAGTAACTTGACTAAGGTCACAGTAGGAAGTCATGGCACTAGGATTCGAACATGAGTCAATCTGTCCCTCAGCTTGTGCTATTAACCAGTCTCCTATGCTGCTTTTTCCATCATATCCTTACCCCCACAACACAATCACAACATTGTCAACAATGGTAACATCAAGAGCGGCACTATTGAAACCCAAATTGTTCCTGAGGAAAGACCTTGTATGTTAATATTTTGCCTGAACCTTAAGCTTTGGGATTCACTCATCAGCCTGTAACAAGAGACACTGGAAGAAACAACCCCATGATGACACTGGGAGCTGTATTACAGTAAGGGTTCTGCACAGGACACCATTGTAGTGGCAACTTGAATTCTCTCAGAATAAACTTTTCTCTGAATGAAAACTACCAGACCCGCCTAGGAAATTTGGCACTGCTGTCTTGTTAATGTGCAGGATTTTAAAGCAGATGTGTTATGTTCTCAGCACAGCCTGGCTGAATCCTAACTTTCATATTTCCATTTTTTCCTCTGCCTTGATTGTCTCACAAACCTATTTTTACATTTTACATGGTTTGAATGTGTGAAATATTGTAAGCAAGCTTAAATACATAAATTAATAGTCAATATTCATTTATGGTTTATAAACTGAAAATAGAGCTTTTTCATGAAAGAACTATGGGCCCCTCCACAGTACATCAAATGAGCATAAATCTAATTAGGTAAGAGGTAATCATACTTATTTAAGTTTAGCATCGTGGTGATCTTCACCTCTGATGAGTTTAAACTTAAGTTGCCATTTATGTGATGGCCCTCGGTCAAGTATTACTGGGCAGAGCACCACAGTTCACTTGATACAGGACAGAGTAGAAAACCCATAAGTGGCTGGGCACAGTGGCTCACGCCTATAATCCCAGCACTTTGGGAGGCTGAGACAGGCAGATTGCTTGAGTTCACCAGTTCGAGACCAGCCTGGGCAACATGGAGGGACCCCTATTTCTACTAAAAATACAAAAATTAGCCAGGGATGGTGGTGCATGCCAGTAATCCCAGCTACATGGGGGGGAGGCTGAGGCAGGAAAATCACCTGAACCCAGGAGACAGGTTGCAATGAGCCGAGATTGTGCTATTGCACTCCCGTCTGGGACAGGGCAAGACTTTCTCTCAAAAAATAACAAAAACCAAAAACTAAAAACCCCACAAACTTCTGCAACATTAGCAAGGGGCTTCTAATGATAAGGATCAGCCTGTACAGAGAGAATTTGAAAATTCAACCTTTTTTGTTCTCATTATGATGCATATCTTTATGAGTCAATCTTTACAAGTTAGGTGGGGTTCCTTCGGTACACACATATGAGTTCAGTTAGCTACAGAATTATAGGTGAACTGCTCTTGAATATTATTACATGAGGGTGAAAAGGTACCTTGGATAAATAATGTTGACCTAGAAGAAGAGTTTGTTTTTTTATTTGAAAATAGATTGAAAAGCCATGAAGTAAATAGCAAAGTTTATAGAACATACTGCAAAGAAAGGGGTCTTATACCTATATGTACTTAATGTTTGTGTGCTGAAAAAGAATATATCTACTCAAACACATATAATTATATATATATATGAAATTGGCACAACAATGGTCTCTGCAAATTACTGAAAATTGAAGGCTTATTAACTAAAAATTCATTATTTGAAACTATGCAGCTCTTAAAGTTCAGCTTTAGCAAGTCAATGTAGTGTGGAATGTAGACTGGCAATTTTAAGTATATATTGTGCTTGCTATTAATGAATACATAGAAATGAAAGATAAAAGAATAGCTTTCTTTCCTTGTGCCTCCTTTGATTACAGTTTGAAACTGATTTTGAATTCAATTAAATCTTTGACTGAAACATTTGCTTTTTGTTCTTTTTAAACATGATTAAAAGTATTTTTCTTTATAATTAATAAAAAATCAATTCTTCAGAATTTGTGGCAGTGGATGTTGTGGTATGCTACCAGGATCCCCTTTCAGGCCTGGTCCCACCTGTTGGAAGTGTTGACGGTGAAAGTCTCAGCTTCTCTCTCCTGGAATCACCCTCAGTGGTGCAGAGCTGACTTGGCCCTGGTTACACATGCTGGTGGGGTAGGGAGTAAAGGAGGGTCTTCATCCACTGACTAGTCTATGTAGGGGAATACAGGTCTGCTCACCCCTTCAGCCTCAGGGTGCTATAACTCTGAAGGGCCATGTGAGCTTCAGATTCCTATGGAGTCATCACGTGTTGTATTTGCTCTGCAGGTCAATTTCTCCCTCTGCCCAACCATTGCCTTTATTCCTCCACCTGATATCCTAGTACCCTTAGCATATTGTTCCTAAGGGCACCCCTCAATACACTGGCTGCATGTATGACTCCATTTCACAGTATTTCATGGAGATTCCACTTAAGACAAAGAGAAAATCTATTTAGACATTCTCAGAGAGGAAAGATTAATGTCGAGCATTTGAACAAACTTCACTGGGAATTCTTTATAACAGTTTTAATTCAAGAAAATTGTTAAACATCTGTGATACTCTAGGTATTGTGCTAAGCAGGAGAGATATAAAATTAAGTACAATAGAATTCTTGATCTCATGGAACTCACTGGCATGAAACACAAATTTTACGAGTGAATATAATTGAAATGAGACAAGCACTATATTAGGAGTATGGACAAACTGCTCTGAAAGTATTGAGAAAGGAATGCCCAGCCTCCTCCCTCTGTGAGGCAGGAATGGCTTCACTAAAGACATTTGAAAGAAATCCTTGATAAGGCTTAGCCCTTTCAAATCATCCTTTCTCTTCTTTCTCTCACATCACACATCCAAGGTCTCAACAAAAGCTGTTATCTCTACTTTTAAATATATCTGAAATCCTGGCCTCACCACCTCCACTGCTTCCAATCTACAGTAGCTTAACATCTCTCATAGCTGCAGTCTCATCACTGGTCTTCCTGCTTCTCCCCTTGCCCAGCATGGTCCATTCTCAACACAGCAGCCAGATGACTCTGATGACTCTGCTAATGGATGTCAGGTCATGAGTTCCTCTGCTGAAAAGATTCCAAAGTGTTCCCAACTTATCCTCAAAACCAAATATGGGCCGAGTGTGGTGGCTAACGCCTGTAATCCCAATATTTTGGGAGGCTGAAGTGGGCGAAATCGCTTGTGCCCAGGAGTTTGAGACCAGCCTCGGTGACATGGTGAAACTACATCCCTACAAAAAAATGCAAAAAAGTAGCTGGTCATGGCGGCACATGCCTGTAGTCCCAGCTACCTGGGAGGCTGGGGTGGTAGAATCACCTGAGCCTGCGAGACTGAGGCTGCAATGAGCTGTGTTTGCGCCACTGCACTCCAGCCTGGTGACAGAATGAGACCCCCATCTCAAAAATCAAACAAACAAACAAACAAAACCAAAGATAATTTCAACACCTACAGAACCCTATGCCAACTGCACACACTGCTCCCATCTTTAGCCCAGGCCTTACCTTTCTGGCTGCATCTGTGGATGTCCTCTCACTCACTATTCTAGCCACTCTGGCCTCACTGCTGTCTTTGGGACCCACCAGCACACTCCTGCCTCAGGGTTTTTGTGCCAGCCGCTGTCCCCTCTGCCTGATTCCCTCTTGCCCCTCCTTCAGGTCTTCGCAACTGTCAACTTCCTCAGCAAAGCTTCCTGACCACTCCCTCCCAGCCCTACAAATTCCCTTTTCCTGCTGTATTTTTTCTTCGTGGCACTTACCATCTGCTCTAGACCTGATGATCATTCATTTTATTTAGAGTTTGCCTTTCCTCACCACAACATGAGCTCCATGAGGGCAAGGATGGTTGCATGTTTTGTTTCTAGTACCAACCCCAATACCCACAATTGTCCCAAGAACAGAGTGAATCTTCACTTAGTATTTGTCTAAGTGAACAAATACATACAAACATATACATATATATGTTGTGAAAGGTAGTAAGATAAGGGTGCAATGCTTCAGCATGAAGAATAGCTGAAAGGCATGGAAATCAAAGTAGTTTTAATCTAGTGTGATTACAATGTAGAAATCCTTACCCTTCCGAGCTAGAAACATAGGTTGGATATGTAAACCACAAAATGTAGTTGTTATTGGCTGAACTACATCCCATTCCCCCAAATTCTGATGGGGAAGCCCTAACCCTCAGTTCCTCAGGATGTGACTATATTGGGATATAAGACTTTTAAAGAGGTGATCAAGTTAAAATGAAGCTGTTAGGGTGGGCCCCAACCCAATCTGACTGGTGTCCTTATAAGAAGAAGAAATTTGGACACACAGAGACACCAGGGATGTGCACACACACAGAGTAAAGACTATGTGAAGACACAGTGAGAAAGAGGCCACCAGCAAGCCAAGAAGAGCGGCCTCAGGAGAAACCAAACCTGCTGACACCTTGAGATTGCACTTCCAGCCTTCAGAACTGTGAGAAAATAAATTTCTATTGTTTAAGCCATCCAATCCGTGGTGTTTTATTATGGGAGCCCTAGAAAACTAATTCAATGATATATGCCATTATAAGGAATTTTGCCTATCTCACATGTCACTATAAAATGTGAAGCAGGAATGGAGGCAAGATGAGAGGTGTATTCATCTGTTCTCATGCTGCTAATAAAGACATGCCCCAGATTGGGTAATTTATAAAGGAAAGAGGCTTAATGGACTCACAGTTCCACAGGGCTGCGGAGGCCTCATAATCATGGTGGAAGATGAAGGAAGAGCAAGGAACATCTTACATGGTGGCAGGCAAGAGGGCATGTACAAGGGAACTCCCCTTTATAAAAGCATCAGATCTCATGAGACTTATTCACCATCATAGAACAGCATAGGGAAAATCCACCCCCATGATTCAGTTAACTCCCACAACACATGGGGATGATTACAATTCAAGGTGAGATTTGGGTGGGACACAGAACCAAACCTTATCAAGAGGAGACCTAAGTTTTAGAAAGACTGTGTTTGTGGTAACAGGGAGGAAGGGCTGGAATAGAGAACAGACTTGAGCCATGGAGACTAACTGGAAGATCTGCAATGGTCCACATCTAAATGAAGAAGCAAGGGAGTCAGAGACAAGTATAGAACTGGGGAATGCTTTAGAAGCAGGATTGATGGGACTTAGAGCTAAGTGATATTGGCATCCAACACAAAATAGAATTAGTAAAATGCAAAGATGTAAAGGGTTCAGAAAAGAAAATATATGGATTTCAGCGCTTTCTCATGTATGAGAACATTTCTCAATATGAAACCTTGAGACAGGTTACGTGGCATCCATGTTGCTTAAGACAGACAGAATATTTACTGAGGAAAGGGCTCTGCAAGCTGCAGCCTCCTTCTCCCTCGTGGTGATAACATGCATATTAGTGTATTAAATCATCTGAGAAGTTTTGCAATGAAGCTTCTATAACTTTGTCAAAAAATATATTTCTTACATTTATTTGATTATGGAAGCCTTTTTTGCAAGGTACCTTTTAACCTCTTCCTGAACATGTATGCTCTAGAAATTAACACAATTTGGAAAACAGTGCTGTGTGTGGTCCAATGTACTAGAATGGTTCCAAAATAAATAGAGAAGCTTTATCTTGGTAATCTCTATTTTGAACAGGAAAACGACTCAACTTTGTCTTAAAGTGGTAGAATGAACTCATTCAAGGAATGATATATGCCATTGTAAGGATTGATTTTCCTACAGTCTAATTCCTACTAGATTTTTTACAAAATCAAAATCTTTGGAAAGTAACACAGTTCTTTCACATCCCTAAAGAAAAATTACTCAGTGCCTTAAAACAAAAAATAAAAGGAAAAAAATTGAACTCACAGACATAGAGAATAAAAGATAGTTACTAGAGGCTGGGAAGGGTAGTGGCAGGGTTTTGCGGGGAGGTGGGGATGATTAATGAGTACAGAAAAATAGAAGGAATGAATAAGACCTACTATTTGATAGTACAACAGGGTGACTATGGTCAATAATAACTTAATTGTTCATTTTAAAATAACTAAAAGAGTATAACTGAATTGTTTGTAACACAAAAGGATAAATGCCAGAGGGGTGGATACCTCATTCCCCATGATGTGATTATTAGGCATTGCATGCCTATATCAAAACATCTCACATACCATGTAAATATATACACCTACTATGTACCCACAAAAATTAAAAAATAAAAAAGAAAATTAAAAATAAAATGAAATCTTGGCGACCTAAGAGGAATATGTGGCTCAAATGCAGAAATCTGGGAGCAGTTTTTTTCCAGGATTTTTTTTTTTTTTTTTTTTGAGACAGTCTTGCTCTGTAGCCCAGGCTGGAGTGCAGTGGCATAATCTCGGCTCACTGCAAGCTCTGCCTCCTGGGTTCAGGCCATTCTCCTGCCTCAGCCTCCCGAGTAACTGGGACTACAGGCGCCTGCCACCATGCCCGGCTAATTTTTTGTATTTTTAGTAGAAACGGGGTTTCACCGTGTTAGCCAGGATGGTCTCGATCTCCTGACCTTGTGATCCGCCCACCTCGGCCTCCCAAAGTGCTGGGATTACAGGCGTGAGTCACCGCGCCTGGCCTTTCCAGGATTTTTGACCAGTTTTCTTTGGTGCTGGAGTAGTCACAGTGTAAACTTTCCCTTATGTGTATCAACTTCTGAGACCCAAGGTGCTTATTGTACAATGACTCACATGCAATGCGCACATACGCCTTCCGGCTCTTTGTGGTACCCGCGGAGCTCCAGGCCACACACTGGCACCAGTAATCTTCAGGTCCAAAGAGTTCTTCCACTTGCTGGCGCGAAATCTCAATGCTCACTTCCCGGACAATGAGACCTGACAAGAGAAAAAGAAAGATTTAAGTCAACACAAGATTCATACTAAAGAAATATAAACCATCACATCATATTTTTCCCCCAGTCATCCCTTTTGATGCCATAGATCAACAACCCAGATATTGTCTCTCATCTCTTTTGACTTTCTTCTCGTTCCAGTTATTTTACTCAACAACTTTTTCATTCTCTTATTTGCTATTTCACATCTTCTGGATTATTCTGAGGATGAAAGTAGAAGGGCTCTATCACTCCACAAAGTAATTCCTTTCCCAATACAGCTTGCTATTTTTTAACCTTCCTCTCTATATTGAAATATAAACTTGAGTTTCACATCTTCTAGGGTTTTTACCTCAATTATATAGTTGTGGGTAAAATAAACGTATGTACACAGATTTACAAAGCTAAAACCAACAGTCATTGTGATTATTTAATAACTAAATTACTTTAGCAGTTGTGTTTCAATTAAATGGCACATCGTTTTTCTTGAAACAGATACTAACCTTTGTTAACAAGCTTCTGGTATCGTATCCGAAGAATATATAACTTTAAAGTTTTCATGCATAATAGTTTGAAAGCCCAAAATGTTTCTCTGTAATTGTAATATACTAAAACCCTGTTAAAGGTAAAGTAGCCTCCTGCTAAAATGCTCAAATAATTGGAATTTATTTCACAGCATTATGTAATCTTGAATAACAAAAAATTGAACTAAGCATCTGGGATTATCATTTTAGAGGTATTTATCTTGAATTATCAAGGCTGTTTCAGACATTCATTCTTCAATGTGCCTCTTTGCCCTGAGCAAGAGGGGTTATCTGAACAACATATGTGGGCAACTGCCAGTTCTCCCAGAGCTTGAACTCACACACTTCCAGCATGGAGTGTCCATTGAGGGAACCAGCAGAACACCCCTAGGGAGGAGGAGAATTTGCTTTGGGTCAAGTATAGGTATAGTAAGAATGATTAAATATATTGTTTTGCACTATTCATATGTCCATCTATTCATTTATTCTTTGAATAAATATTTATTTAGTATCAATTATGTAAAAGATAATGTATCAGCACTTGTGAAAGTAATCAGTAAGATAGTCCTTCCCCTCAATGAACTTATGTTATTGTGAAGAGGTATCATGTTAACAATGCATTATACAACTTATTATTTAGGTTCAATTGCATTCAATGCTGCAAAGGTGGGCATAGGAATGAGTGTGAGTAATCAGGGAACCCAATCTAGTGTGAAGGATCCAGTATGAGTTAGCTTGGTTCAATCATATGGTGAGCAGGAGGGACAGGACATATGGGAAAGAGCAGGAAAGGGAATTAGGAGTTTGAGAATTTAGGAGAAGACAACTGAGCACCAACCACAGAGAATAGTGGCATGAGATGAAGCTAGAGACAAGAAAGGGTCTAGTTTACATAGTTGTGCACACCAGTGTTTCTGAAAGTGTGGCCCCCAGAGCAGCTTCATCAGTATCACCTGGGAACCTGCTGCAAATGCACATTCTCAGGCTCCATGCCAAACTCACTGAATAGGAATCTCTGGAGGTGGGGTCCAGCAATCTGTGTTTTGACCAGCCTGCCAAGTAATCCCAATGCATGCTGAGTTTCAGAACTACTCACATCTACAATGTTTATAATTCTCAGTTTCCCCCAGGCACTGTGGCTCACGCCTGTAATCCCAGCACTTTGGGAGGCCAAGGCAGGCGGATCACTTGAGGTAAGGAGTTTGAGACTAGTCTTGCCAACATGGTGAAACCCTATCTCTACTAAAAATACAAAAATTAGCTGGGCATGGTGGCGCACGCCTGTAATCCCAGCTACTCGGGAGTCTGAGGCAGGAGAATTGCTTGAACCTTGGAGATGGAGTCTGCAGTGAGCCGAGATCGCACCACTGCACTTCAGCCTGGGCAATGAGCGAGACTTTGTCTCAAAGATTTTCAGTTTCTTCCTAAAAGCCATGGATATTACTAAAGTGTTTTAAGCAAGTAGATGACATGATCAGATGAGAATTAAATATATACATATATGATATATAAAATAGATATGTGTGTATGTGTATGTGTACATGTGTATATCTGTGTGTATGTGTATGTGTATTCAATTCTTTATAGTTTAATAAGTTCATAAAAGTTATAATTTCTCAAAATGTTTGATTATAGGTGACAGGAGAGGGTATATTTTCTGGAACTCCTTAAAAACTGTATTTTAGAACTTTCCTTAACACCTAGAAAATATTCAAATGACTAAACACACTCAGGGAAATGAACAACTACCCAATGGGAGTAGGAGCTGTCCCACTGGGGGAACAAACAATATTTCCTATCAAGAGCTGATGAGGCTTGTGTCATAGAAACTACTAAGCTCATAGGCCCATTAATGACTAGCTAAATGGTAATGAAGCCCAAGACGGTGGGTTTTATAATCCCAAGGCGTGACAGGATCCTAAGGGGCAACTCTATTGTGAAAAGCTTATGAAGTACATTCAAAATTATTTCAATGTTTTGAAAATTAGCAATCCTTGTATGTTTATATATTAACCAGTTTAAAAAGAATTTCCAAGTAAGTGGCATATTCCAATCCATCACCCTTCTATGGAAAGAAGATTAGTAGATTATGTTAGCCAATGTCTAACTAATGTAACAATCCTCTCAGCAACAATCCTAGGCCATTAACAAATAACACCACTTTGCCTCCTCTTTCCTGGTCCCTACTCAGGCCTCTCATTTTCTTATCTTATTGTATTTTTTCACATTATTCCAATTCTGGAAATCTATGGGAAGATGGAATCACAACCTCTTTCCCCAGTCCCCATATCTTTCTCTCTCTCTCTTTTTTTCCCCCTACTCTCTGATGTTTGATGGTTTTTCCCTGCTTTACTTATTTATACATTCCCTCTTCATGGGGAAATTCAGTTACTGGAAACAAACCTCTTCCTTTAAGATTACTGTAGTAACTTACAGTCACCAAAGGGCTGATAAATTTGCAATATGTGTTTCCTTAGAACTATAATGGTTCTTTATACGATGCAGAGCAGCAACTAATATGCTCAGGATATTACAACCACATCCAAATATTTGGTGTCCCAAGATGATAACTTCAGGTCTCATTCTCCCCCACTTTTACTTAAAGCAATTACAGGAAGCCTAATTAAATGCTTGAGGAATTCAGTAGGTCCACTGTATCCTTTAGCTCAAATAGGCTCATGGATGGTTCTACTGACCACAAATCTGAAGCCTTTTTAAAAGCCACAGACCAACCCTCCTGCTACAGGAGTTATTCATAGTCTGAATGCTCTGAATTGTTTGGCTCAGGCTCCCTGTGGGCACTGGAGTCAAGCACACACTGATTTTTGTATTCAGCTTCACAGATGTCCCATTCAGGAGGAGCTGAGTTGTGTACAGTTGTCCTATTACATAGCCCAAAGTTTACATTCCAACTTTTGGTCAACAACACAAGAATAAGAAAGAACTGAAGCATGAAGTATCTAAATACTTATGACTCAGAAGAATTCCGTAGAATTGACTGCATTATTCAGACTCTGAGCTACTTGGTTACATGCCATATTTTCATAACCATAGGTAAGTTTATTACCTATGAGAGTTTGTTCATCAGACCAGAGCCTAGTGGTTTGGGTAAAAGTAGATAATATTTTTTCTCTTTGAACCTATAATTTCAAATCTGCTTGAAGTCTGGAGATGGAAAAAGCAAACTACCTTGAATTTGAAATGCCATCAGCATTACTTCTAAGGTGGGTTGCTTTGAAGAGCATTTGGGAACCTGAAATTGGTTTCAGGTTATTTAAGGGTGGGGGAAATGCTTTGGTCTACAGGACTTACTCAAATACAAATGTGTAGTTTCCATCACATCTGATAACATCAAAGATTTCCCATCATGCTGCTTCCTTTAATAGTGGCATCTCAAGGATGCATGCTGTTTGAAGTTTGCAGTGATTTGTTTTTATAATAGGATTTGTTGTAGTTTGGGAGCCAGAGTGCAGGAAAGTAATTAGCATGTTATTCCAAGAAGTCTTATGATGAGTATGAGTGTGCACTTGTTAATAATACATTTCAAATGAATATAGAAATTCAGATTCAAATGCAACCCTCTGATTGGATCTTTGTGAGGTCATACATGAATATGGCAATAAGACCTGATAATGACATGACATTTATTTCTTATTTTTAGCATATGCTTAATTTCATAATAGTGGTAAGGCACCACAAATACTGTTTTTCTAGGATACTACCATAAAGTGAGCACAAATACATGCTTAATCCAATTAAATGATTACTTAAAATAATATCTGTATTTCCCCAAAATGTAATCTACAGTGCTATCAAATAAAGTAAGTATTAAAGTCCATTAATAACAGATATTATGCTAAGTTGCAGAAATGTAAGGATGAATCAAACATTACTTAGCCTTAAGCTCTCCATATATTTTATTTATTTTTATTTTTATTTATTTATTTTTTTGAGACGGAGTCTTGCTCTGTCACCCAGGCTGGAATGCAGTGGCGCGATCTTGGCTCACTGCAAGCTCTGCCTCCCGGGTTCACACCATTCTCCTGCCTCAGCCTCCGGAGTAGCTGGGACTACAGGTGCCTGCCACCATGCCTGGCTAATTTTTTGTATTTTTAGTAGAGATGGGGTTTCACCATGTTAGCCAGGATGGTCTTGATCTAGTGACCTCGTGATCCACCCGCCTCGGCCTCGCAAAGTGATGGGATTACAGGCATGAGCCACCACGCCTGCCTCTTCATGTATTTTATAAACATATCTTGTTTATTAGGTGACACTGAAAAAAATCACACATCATCTTAAAACACATTTTCATGATAGTGAATTTGCGCCTTCTGATACTCCATGTATATTTCTTTCAAAAGTATCCTAACTCAACTTTAGACTTAGGTATTATGTATGCCTGAGTTGATTCCTCTCCATGGCTTTATCTTTCTTATGGCAAAAGGAAGTTTTAAGATATCATGTTGTGCAGGCCTGGCAATTTGGCTTTCTCCAGCAATCTCTCTAATTGGAGAAGAACTGCAGAGCTCCCTCCACCAAATTTCATTATAGTACATTCACAGTTAGGACACAGGTTGGTAAGAAATATACAAAGCTGCAGGTTGGGATGTTCTGGAATATATTACAAAGTTTTATTGAATTAGTGTGATCTTTTGGTTCTTTCTTCCAGTGCTTCATTCTATTATAAGCTTTTACTAGTATTATTTAAAATATGAAACATATCAGTTCTAGATGTCTTAATATTAATTAAATCACAAAACACCCTGTCATTATTTAGAAGGATGTCATACTATAAAAACTGATTATTATTTCAGCATCTTATAACTCTCGTTAAAGTAATTAAAGTGTGATAACTTAAAAGGCAGAATTTCAGAATCAAGACTTCATGTGTTACATGAAGTCACTTAACAATCTTTAACTACTATAGCAGGAAGACATTGTATACACAAAATTTACCTACTCTTTGAAATGTTTTAATTAAATTTTTAATATAATGTTTAATATATAAGCAAACTATATAATTTAACTAAAATTATTCTATGCAAGTGGGAATTGCAACTTGCTGGTGTATTAGCTTTATTATGAGTATAATTTTGTTAAAGTTACAGCTACTATCTTTGTGATTAAGATGAATGTAAGAAACGCAACACTTACAGAGACTGAATCATGAAGGAATAGAAAACCTGAACAGACCAATCAATGATCAGTAAGATGATTAAATCAGAAATAAAAAGTTTCCCATCAAATAAAGGCCCAGGACCTGCACTTTTATTTAAGAAGAACTAAACTTAACCTTTCTCAAACTCTTCCAAAAAATTAAAGAAAAGAGACTACTTCCAAATTCATGTTACAAAGCCAGCATTATCCTCTTACCAAAACCTGCTGAGGACACTACAAGAAAAGAAAAGTACAGGCCAATAACCCTGATAAACAAAGATGCAAAAATCATCAACAAAATACTAACAAACCAAATGCAACAGCACATTAAAAGGATCATGCACCCTTATCAAGTGGGATATATCCCTGGGATGCAAGGATGTTTCAACATTTACAAATCGATCAATGTAATACATCACATCAACAAAATGAAGGATAAAAATCATACGATCATCTTAATAGCTGTAGAAAGAACATTTGACAAAATTCAACATCCTTTAATGAGAAAAACTCTCAACAAATTGGATAGAAAATGAATGCTCAACACAATAAAGCTATATATGACAAGCCCAGACCTGGCATTACGTTCAACAGTGAAAAGTTGAAAGTTTTTCCTCTAAGATCAGGAACAAGACAAGGATGCCCACTCTTGCCATTTCTATTCAACATAGTACTGTCTTAGATGGATCAATTATGCAAGAGGAAAAAAATTCTAAATCACAAAGGAAGAAGGAAATTGTCTCTGCTTGCAGATGATGTGCTGTTACATTTGGAGAATCCTATAAATTAAACAAAACGGTTAAAATTAATAAATGAATTCAGTACAGTTGCAGGACACAAAATCAACATATAAATATCAGTAATGATTCTATACATGAATAATAAACTTTCCCAAAAAGAAACAAAGAAAATAATCCCATGTATAATAGCTATAAAAATAATAAAATACATAGAAATAAATTTAACCAAAGAGATGAAAGAGCTGTACACTGCAAACAATAAAACATGAAAGAAATAAATTGAAGAAGAAAAACATTAATGGAAGGCCAGGTGCGGTGGCTCACGCCTGTAATCCCAGCACTTTGGGAGGCTGAGGCGGGCAGATCACCTGAGGTCAGGAGTTTGAAACCAGCCTGGCCAAGATGGTGAAACTCTGTCTCTACTAAAAACACAAAAATAAGTTGGGCATGGTGGCAGGCCCCTGTAATCCCAGCTGCTTGGGAGGCTGAGGCAGAGAATTGCTTGAACCTGAGAGGTGGAGGTTTCAGTGATTCGAGATTGTGCCACTGCACTCCAGCCTGGCTGACAGAGTGAGACTCTGTCTCAAAAAAAAAAAAAAAAAAAAAAAAAAAAAAAAGAACAAGAAAAACATGAATGGAAAGATATGTTCATGGATTAGAAAAACTAATATTGTTAAAATGTTCATATTACCCAAAGTGGTCTACAAATTTAATGAAATCCATATCAAAACTCCAATGACAATTTTCACAGGATTAGAAAAACAATCTTAAAATTCATATAGAATCACAAAAGACCCTGAATAGCTAATGCAATCTTGAGCAAAAAGAACAAAGCTGGAGGCATCACACTACTTGATCTCCACATCTACTATAAAGTTACAGTATCAAAATAGCATAATGCTAGCATGAAAACAGACACACAGACCAATGGAACAAAATAGCTCGCCCAGAAATAAATCCATATGTTTATGGTCAATTGATTTTTGACAGAGATGCCAAGAATACACAATGGGGAAAGGACGGTCTCTTCAATAAATAGTGTTGGGACAACTGGATATCCCTAGGCAGAAGAATGAAATTAGACCCTTAACTCATACCATATACAAAAACCAACTCAAAATAGATTAAAAATTTAAATATAAACCCTGAAACTGTAAAACCGCTAGAAAAAAACATAGAGGAAAAGCTCCTTGACATTAGTTTGGGCAATGATTTTTTTAATATGACCCCAAAAACACAGGCAGCAAAAGCAAAAATAGACAAATAGGAATACATCAAACTAAAAAGCTTCTGCACAGCAAGGAAATAATCAACAAAGTGAAGAGACAACTTATGGAATGAGAGAAAACATTTGTAAACCATACATCTGATAAAGGGTCAATAGATAAAATATATAAGGAACTCAGTCAACTCAAGAGCAAGAAAAAGAACCCAATTAAAAAACTGGGCAGAGGATCCCAAAAGACACGTTTCAAAAGAAGACATACAAATGGCCAAGGGTATATTAAAATATGTCCAACATCACTAATCCTCAGGGAAATACAAGTTAAAACAATGAGATATCACCTCACACCTGGAAGAATGGCTACTATCAAAAAGACAAAAGATAACAAGTGTTGGCAAAGGATATGGGGCAAAGGGAACCCTTGCACTCTGTTGGTGGGAATGTAAATTAATACAGCCATATGAAAAACTGTATGAAGTTTCCTTAAAACAAAACAAAACAGAAATAAAACTACCATATGATCCAGCAGTTCCACTAATAGGTGTATACCCAAAGTAAATGAATCAGTATTTGAAAGGGATATCTGCTCCCCTACATTCGCTGCAGCACTTGGCTATTCACAATAGCCAAGACATGGGATTAACCTAAGTGTCCATCAATAGATGAGTGGTGGTAGAAAATGTGGTACATATACACAGGGGAAAACGTTCAACCTTAAAAACAAAGGAAATATTTTGATTTGCCACAACTTGGATGAGCCTGGAGAACATTATGTTAAATGAAATGAGCCAGGCACAGGAAGACAAATACTGCATGATCACACTTATATGTGGATTCTAAAAAAGGTGAAACCATAGAAGCAGAGCAAAAATGGTGGTTCACAGAGGGTAGGGGGTCCCAAGATGGGTGACTGGGAAAATGTTGGTCAAAGGATATTAAATTTCAGTTAGACAGGGAGAGTAAGTTCAAGAGATGTGCAACATGATGAACACAGTTGATGGTAATGTGTTGTGTACTTGAAATTTGCCAAGACAGTAGATTTTTAAGTGTTCTCATTACAAAAAAAATGAGAAATATATGAGGTGATGTATATGTTAATTAGCTTGATTTAGCCATTCCATGATATATATTTCAAAACATCATGTTATTCACCATAAATATACACAATTCTGTTAATAAATGTAGAAGGCTAAATTTATTCAAAAGTTAAATAATTTATATGACTGAAACTGAGTGGTTCAAGGGATTTGCTTGGAAGCATTTCTAGGTCATTGACTCAATTCCTTTTTATGGCCATAGTTTTTAGGAACTTGGCTCTGTGTGGCAGCCTGTGTCAAATGAGGATCTGTGCTTTGTTATATTTTTGTTTTGTCTAGAACTGAGAAGAATATTCACTGGATTGTGTAACTGGGTTGGGGGGGGATTTCTAGTGCTTCTAGAAAGCTCTATGACAACTATAGATCAACGCACGGTTTTCTGCCTTAAAACTTGAAATTTTAATTATAAGACAATATTACATAGAATGAAAAATAAAACTTACTCTGGCAATCATAACACAGTTTTCCTCTTTCCTTTGTGCGAGCATCAGGTTTTGAGTTTTACAGGAGAACTAGGCCTTCTATTTTTGATTTGACTTTCCAACTAACATCAAACTTAGAGTCCATATCTGAGGGATAACTTGAATGGTGGGTGTGCAAAATATTTCTGTTTTACATTTAAAGTTGCAACGAATTGCTAGAAATCAACCTTACAAGCACTAGCTGTCATTTAATTCTTTTTAACTTTGGTGATTAAAAAAAAATCTTTCAAATGTGTGCAAAGAAGACTTTCTGATACTAAAAGGGCAGCTAAAATGCTTTCTGTAATTAACTTATGCCTTGTGTGTCAATATTCTTTGGAATATAAAAAAAACAATTTTGTGAATACATGACAGCACTTTGTTTAATTTGGAAGGGAACAAAGCATGTTCCACTGAATTAGCAAATGCAACATTCTTCTAAATATTTGTCCTAAAACACCGAATATATTACACATATTTGAATGTATATTCCAACATTTTTCTTGGAAAATATAATTCCTAATTATGACCTAAATCTTACTACATGCATGTCTTTGCTTCCTTGTTTCAGGCATTCATGAGTAGTTTTAATACAATTTTAATAAAATTTAACAAAATGATGCCTGTTAACGAAAGTGGGGCATAGTAATGTGTTCGTGGAAATCTAGTTAACTATACACTTGTGAATTATAGACCTCACTATTAGTCTTGTCCAGTCATTCATTCAATAGATATTTCTTGAGACTTTACTATGTGACAAGAACTTTTCTTTTCCATGTGCTGAGGATACAGTGCTAAAGAAAGAAGATATCACCTTGGCACACTGGTTCATGCCTATAATTCCAGAGCTTTGGGAGGCCTAGGCAAGAGGATTGCTTGAGGCCAAGAATTCAAGACCAGCCTGGGCAACATAAAGAGACCCTGTCTCTACAAATAAAAATCAGAAAATTAGCTAGGCACGGTGGTGTATGCCTACAGTACTAGCTGCTCAGGAGGCTGAGGCAGGAGTATTGCTTGAGCCTAGGAGTTTGACCTTATGGTGAGCTATGATTGCACCATTGCACTCTAGCTTGGGTGACAGAGTGAAATCCAATCTCAAAAAACAAACAAACAAACAAAAACAACAACAACAAAAAACAAAAAAAACCCCAAAACCAGAAAAGAAAGCACGTAAGGAGATAAGGTCTCTGTTCTCCTGTGGGTGACATTCCAGTATGAAGATAATTCTTAAGCACATATTTCATTCATTATGATAGTTTCTTAGGTGGCCACACTGATGAAATGCTTATGAATCCTCCCTTCAGAAGATACTAAGACTAGAGATAAAATAGTTGTTCATTGAGCATAGGCCCTGTCCTATGCATTCTGTATCCATCAGTACAGTAACTGGCACATAATATTTGTCCAGTTAATATATGTTAAATAAGTGAATGATCTGTACATATATATAGTTACAACAGAAAATAAAGTGTTTAATCCCAGGCATAGAATAAACTTAATTGTAGCTTAGACGAGTAAAGGTAACTAGTATTTTTTGAACAGCTACTGTGCATCTCAGTTAATCTGCATAACAATCCTTGGGGATTCATACTGTCAAATCTATAATAAATATGTAAAGAGCACAGATCAGAATCTAAACAATTGTTCATATAGCCAATAAGTACCAAAATAAAGATTTATATCCACATGTGTCTGAATCCAATGTTCCTATTCCTTTCACTACACCAATATTCCTGAAACTATGTCTCAGAAAAGAGTTCCATGGTCAAACAAGCTTGGGAATTTCTGTTCAATACACCCTCCTCTACAAAACTCAGAATGCCCATCCATATATTGAAGGCATTGGTCAGAAGTTCTGTAGTAAAGAAGTCTGTTTAGTACAGATTAGCATCATTTTCCCTCAATTTGTTAAACCACACAGCCCTACAGTCAACGTAGCCACAGAAACTCACCTCATCATGGCTCTCAGTATGGTTTTGTTTAGCATTCTCTACATTGATCTACTGAATAAAAATAGTCCAAAACTTAGAAAATTCTGGAAATCCCATGACAAAAGGTATAGTGAAATATTTCAGATGGACAGATTGAGGGACCATGGCAAAGTGGAATATTTGAGATTGACACTGAAACAAGGTTTGGGTTTAAAGATTTAGAGAAAGGAATCAAAGACACTTCAGGAAGAGAGAATAGCATGAAGCCAAAGAGCAGAGATGAAAATGCATGGAGCACTCTAGGGGAGAGTAGTTTACATTCATTGAGTAAAGGAATAAGTGTTGAATTAGATAGAAGAGAAGATTCATGAAGAGCTGTGAATGGCAGCTAGGGAAGTTGGTTCTTTGGAGCAGTGAGATTGTGAAAATTGTAAATTGGTAAAATGACAGTTTTGAAAATGACATGCTGCAGGAAGATTAATTTGTCTCTATGAGTAAACAAGGATACACTGACTTACTTTAAAGGAATTTTAATAATTTTAATTTTAATTATTATTACAAAATGGTTTTCAGATCTTCGATCTTACATCAAGTCATTAATCATAAGTGTTAAGAGCAATATCCTTATTGACCCTCTAAAAACACTGTCTGACAGTGGAAACCAGGTATATGTATCCAGAATAATAATTACTCATCCTCATGGGCTTTCATTTTGCATTTATTCCAAATGATTTGAAAACAAGCATTAAGAGCAATCACTTCTGAGTGACTACCACTTAACAACAGTTCACACATAGTATGTTCTATTGAGGATTGCTATTTGTTTATCTTAAAAGCAATATGTTTCATAATCTTAATGCAACTTTAAAAAGCATACTATAAAGATTCATATGTTTAAAAATTCCACTCACCCAGGACAATTATTATTGCAACTAGGTGACTGAAAACATATTCATCTAACACAAAACAACCTAGTGATTTATTGAGATAAGAAAGTAAATTCTGCTCTGTACGTATTGGCTGACTTTTGGCAAATCTTAAATTCATCAAACCTTGGTCTCCCATCTTGTGAAATAAGACTAAAAATGTGTTTGTCTTGCTGCATTGTGAGAAAAGGAACGAAATAACAGTTATGAAAGTACTTGAAATCCATAAAATGTCTTTAAAATGTACTGCATCATAATTATCTTGTGAATAAAGCTGTATTCTATTCACAAAATTATCATTTGAGGTACTATAAAGACTTAGGAGGGGAGAAGAGCACCACTAATTGAAAACTATATTAGTCACATACCCAGATGAGAAAGACATGACTGGTTTGGGGAATTTTCAGTGGACTCGGGCAAGTCAAGTCTGAGTGAAGATTTCAGTTGTTCAGGGCAATGCAGATGAGGCTAGGTTCTTTAGAAATGGATTCTGAACACTAGAAATGAGTTCAGGGGAGTTGCCTTTAAGTTTCTTCTCCTTCAGCCAAGCCACCTGGAATTTTACTAATCCTCCAGAACCCCACCATCCTGAAGTGTAGATATAGCGGAGCTATCCTGACATGAAGAATCAAAGTGCATAAGGTCTACTTATTTTGACAACCACAATGCTTGCACAGCTCCTCTATCAGGCATTCCCTAGATCCCTATTCAATAACACAGGTGAGGCAGAGACATTAAGCAATTGAACAGAAATTACTAAGTAGGTTAGTTCTGACTAATTTTGGACAGAATAAGCTAACATCCATATTTTAAAAAAGATATAAAATTCATGAGTATAATCATGTCTTCTGGAGGCTTCCTTCACTTTCCAACTAGAATGTGAGCCCCCTCAGGGAGCTCTCTAGCTGCTATTCAAGGCTCTTCACAAATCAGATGTCACTTTTCTGTGGTTTCAGTTTTATCTCTTGCAAAAACATCAAAACATGATTGACTGTAAAGAAAATGATAATGGTACTTAAACACTATGACCTAGTATTTCACGTCAATTTGTTCAACATTTATACTGGAAAATACATTTTGAAAAATATTGCAAACATGAAATTGTGAAAATAATATTTTGTCACATAGTAAATTCATCTGCATTTTGAGGCAGTTGGGCATAATATTAAAATCAAATATTCAGATATTTGAAAACCCTCAGAATTAATGGAAATCCGTCTTTGTGTATCTAAAAAAATGTCAAATTAAAAATAAATTTTAATTGTTTGGAGGTAAGCATTGGATCATGGTAAAAAAGCAACAAAGTTTCATGGACTTTATAAGTATTTTTTTCATTCATTTATTCAATAGGTATTTACTGAAAACCTACTGTGTGCCAAGCATATTATATTCCATATCATTTAAGTCTGTGTTATGGTAAGCTGCTGTAACATTTAGACACCCCCTACTCCCAAGATGGAATGGCTGAAACATGTTAGAATGGTACATTCATTGTCATAACAATCTTAGGAAGGTGACCTTGTTCAGGGCAGCTCTTCCTGCCTTAGTCAGGAGTGAACCCAGATTCTGAGTATTTTTGGAACTTGTAATGTCTTTATGTCTATTCTACACTAGCATTACAAAGAAAAAAAAGAAAAATGATTGTTTCCCACTATGAGCTCCAATTCCCTGAGACATTTATGTAACTGTATAATATTGACAATCGAACAAACAGCTTCAATCATGTCTATTCATATCTCCAGGCAAAGTTTTGTTCTTCTTCCTTTATTTTACAAATGTATTGCTTCAAAGGACACATACTTTTGTGGATAAACAATTTCCACTAGAAGAAGAACAGGAAAGGTAGCTATTTAATATATGCAGTTAGAGCCATGAGGTATGGATCATAGTAAATAATATTTTGCAATGATACTAGCACTAATAAAGATGATGACATTTGCATGATTAGCTATGTTTTTAGTAAAGGAAAATTAACGGATAGGAATATTTAGCTTGAAGGATACATACAACATGCTGACAAACAAAACTGAGTTTCAGCATAAAAATGGATATATTACACAGAGAGTATACATAGGCTCCTAATGTCTCTGTGTGCATTTGTATGCATATTATTCATCTAGTATTTTCTTTTTACTTCCAAGTTGGAATGCATTTACTTCATATCTTATTATAAGCCCATTTGGTAACACTTCTGTCAGATTTCAGTTGCATATTCACTGTTGAATAAATCAGTGGTTAATAAATGTCCTTGGAAATGTGTTTAGAGATAAATAATGAACTGCTGTATCTGATCATTAAGTGTACATCAAGCTCACATTTTTACTCTCAGAATCCTAAAAGGAAGATAGCATGACCTACTATATATGTACATGGAAAAAAGGGAAATAATTATAGAGAAAACATGTAAAAGGAGCCTGGTTTATTACTCTTAAATGGGTACATGATAGATCAAAATAAATGTTATTACAACTGATCAAAAAATCCTACTGCAAAGGAAATAATAAATAAAGATGGAGAGTCAACCTGTCCATCATAAGTGCTTTTTGTTACAAAGCCAAGGACTTGGAGTGTGGACCCAACCCCACAGCATGCAAAACCGTGGGGCTCTCAGGATTCCAAGCCTAGCATCCCCACCCTCTCATAGGCGCTTCGGAGCTGACCGCAGGCACACTTTTAATTTGTGGCAAGATGGTCTGACAAACAGCTTGGGAGGACAGCAGAGGTGAAAATACAGATCAAGTGCAGATAAAAATATGTTCACCTTGAAAAATACAAACAAGACTTTTAGGTAATAATGCACAGGGAAATACCTATCAAAAAATGAGAAGAATAGAACCACTGCTTTCTCATTAACAGTTTTCACAATCCCTTTTAGCTTGTATTCCAACTTCTGTCCATAATCCAATATCTGCATACTCCTTACATCTATACTTAAATAATATAGATTTTTGTCCCCTGTACATATCTTATAAATGTCAATCCATCCCACCTCAAAGTTTCTTGGTATTCAGCAAGTTTTTTAAAAAGTCAATCATGTAGGAGATCCTTTAGCAATACTTCAAGGTATTATCCCTATAAAAAGTGAAGAGGGATCTGAGGTCCTAAAAAGAAAAATAATGACAGAGAATGGCTGTAATTTCATATGTTCCTGATGGAAATCTCACTGCTCAGAAAAAAAAAGAACACATATGCCAAAATAAAAGAAAAAAAAAAAGCAAAAATAAAAGGGAATGGGACCACATATAACCTTGCCAAAGGTTCATGTTTTACATAAAGCAGCAGTTGGGACTTCACAAAGGAAATCTCTGCACTTTTTATTTCTGGTTCAGAGGATTTACATGCTCTTTCTAATGATCTGGGCCTTCAGCACTGGGTAATGTCTCCCAGTGCCCAGCTTAGCGCTCATGCAAAATTGAAGCACTTTGGAGGCAGTTTAGTAGTTGCAGATGAATCTCAATGTGCAGGAAAAGGCATAATGGCTGTTTAGCACTTGCTAGGAGAAGCTGAGGAAATCAGGGGGAAAAATCTATTGAATTCAAGCCATCTGGGAAGCCAACTGAGAGCGGCTGCATTAACAACGTGTTTACATTCCCATTGTGTTGCTAGGCCAAGCAAAAATAAGTGTGTGCGTGTGTGTGCATGTGTATATGTGCGTGTGTAAAGGAAATTATAAAGTGAAGCTCTTTTGATTGTATTGGCTATTTTGGTTTGGCTTTGGCAACAATGTGGAGAAAGAACTTGTATGAGAAACGTGGCAATGAGAATGAGACGGAATGGCTGTCACAGTGCAGGGGCTGGCAAGGATGCTGTGAGCAGGAGGAAAATGAGCGCTATGCAGAGCCAGGCTGAGCAGTTCTCTTCCTGTCTCTGGCCCCGAGTAGAAGGCAGCAGACTGGGGGAGGCCTCAGAAAGCTGGTAAAGAACACTAGGGAATGCTTTCATTGCCTGTTCCATTTATAGTTACCTTAGAAATACCGACCAAATGAGGAAAAACAGCCAGGTAAGTAAGTGCCTTTACTTTCAACCCCCACCACTCCTACTCGGTCTCTCCACCATCACTTCCCTCCTGCACTGTCATATTAAGTGATTTTTTTTCTTGACAAATGCTTGGTGGCTGTAGTGGGCTGAATGCGGAATGGTGTCCCACAAAGGATATGTCTATGTCTGAATCCCTGGGACCTGTGAATCTTACTTTGTTTGACAAAAAGGTCTTTGCAGAAGTCATTAGTTAAAGATCTTGAGATAAGGAGATGAACAGCCTGGGAGGACAGCAGAGGGGAAAATACAGATCAAGTGCAGATAAAAATATGTTCACCTTGAAAAATATAAACAAGACTTTTAGGTAATCCAGGATAATATCCTGGATTATCCAGGTGAGCCCAGAATCCAATGACAAGAGTCCTTGGAAGAGACACACAGAGAGGAAGACAGATGTGGAGGAGAAGGTGACGTGAAGATGGAGGCTGAGATCGCAGTGATGGAGCTGGAAGCCCAGGAGTGCCAGGGCAGCCACCATAAACTGGAAGAGACAAGAAACAGATTTTCCCCTGGAGCTCCCCGAGGAGGGCAGCTCTGCTGGATTTCAGACTTCTAGCCTCCAAAACCATGAGAAAATATATTTCTGTTGTTTTAAGCCTAGGAGACAAATGCAGTGACTAAGGGCACTTACTGTCCATTCAAAGCCTGGATGCAGAAATCTGATAGAGCAAAAAGGTGAGAAAAAACTGTCTGCCATGCAGTGTTTTTCTGGTTTCACAAATGCCCCCCGAATGGGTGTGGAGAGGCAGCCTCTTAGTCACTGAGGTCACTTCATACAGAGGGCATCATTGTCCAGGGTCATCCAGGGTGTAGCTATAAAAAGAGGCATGCCATTCATTGCCTGCCATTCCTGGACTTGCCTTGTACAGAACATTCCCCTGGGTTTTGCCAGTGAAATTTTAATTCACTTAAGCCTGAGAGTTCCCCACACTTCCCTCAGAAGGCTGCTATCCTTCTGCTTTAGCAGTTTAATAGGCAGAGACAGGGGAAAGGATATTGAAGAAAGCAGGAGCTCTATCCATGTAACTCTATACCATAGGACTACCAAGGGGTTTCATGAATTTATTCTCAGAATGAGAGGAAAGCCTGAGCAAATCGTAAAGCATACTCGTTTTCCCCCATCTCTCTTTTCCCTCCTCTCTTTCGCTCCCTCCAGACTGGAATATCCTTAAGTGCAGTAATCAAGTCTTGGTTATGTCTCTACTTACAGCACCAAGTAAAGTATCTAGGTCATGGATTTTGAACAGAACATCTATGTACTCCCTCTCTGCCACACTTTTACAATAAATAACATCTCTCTTGTACCCTGGTTTTCAAGCCTGGTTGTACATTAGCATTACTAGAGAGCTTAAAACAAACACAGAGGAAAAGCTATGGCCTGTTCCCAATTAAATTATTATCTCTGGGGCTGGGGCCAGGACCTAGGTGTTTTCAAAAGTCCCCCCTGGTAACTGTCAAGTGCAGCCAGGGTTGACACTTCCTGCCCTAATAGTTCCTTGCGGCTCTTGCCTTCATGTTCTGGAAACTTTCTTCCAGAACACAATTTTTATAATCAGGTTAAGCCTTTGATGAAATTAGAAATGAGTCCAAGGCTCCGTCATCAGAATTGCTTTTCATTGCAAGATACTGTATTTCCTACATGCTGTGCTTACTTTTTTGCCAGACCCTGATAGTTGGCAAATGGTAGCGCTCATGTTACATGGGCTGGTTTTTACATCTCCAAAAGGTACTATTTAGAGGATCTGGCAAGAATGGATATTTCAACAGGCTTCCCCAGGACTGGTCTGAGAATCACTAGCTGAGGGAAGACTCAGGACTGATGGTAAACACGGGGGAAGACAACATGATCCAGAGCTATTTAGCAATGTCCTCCCAACTCAAGGGTTCACATTTGATTGTTCATCGATTGTGGAAATTTTTAACTAAAAAGTTCTCTGTTGTGTTTTCAAAGATGCCAAAAAAATGATAGGGTGGGGAGAGAGAAATAGCATCAAGATTTTGACCAAATTATTGAGAGAATAATGGGTACTAAGATTTAGTGGTACAGAAACAAATAGAATGGAACAACAGCCTGGATCATTATCTCATAATTACCAACCAGTTTACTTATATTTAGCACAATAGGTTCAGACACCCAACAATAATATTTAAATTTTAGGAGAAAAGCTATGCTCTTTTGGAAGCGGACCATCTCTTTTAACCATACATTGTTTCTTAAACTTCTTTTAAAATGATGCTTAATCTGTTTTGTATGACAACCCCAAACTTTTAAAAACATGTTTCTTCCACAAAAATAAAGTACAAGATGGCTCTCGCCTGTGTATCCCAGCACTTTGGGAGGCCAAGGTGGGCAGGTCGCCTGAGGTCAGGAGTTCGAGACCAGCCTGGCCAACATGGTAAAACCTCGTCTCTACTAAAAATACAAAAATTAGCCCAGTGTGGTGGCGGGCGCCTATAATCCCAGCTACTGGGGAGGCTGAGGCAGGAGGATTGCTTGAACCCAGGAGGTGGAGGTTGCAGTGAGCGGAGATCATGCCATTGTACTCCAGCCTGGGTGACAAGAGAGAAATTCCATCTCAAAAAAAAAAAAAAAAGAAAAGAAAAGAAAAGAAAGTAAAAGAGACTCTTCTTAAACCCTTCACATACTTTAGCCAAAGGTTAGATTAAAAAGTACAATATGGCTTTTAACAATTGTTCTATTCTCACTTTGAAGTGGTCATATTAAAACTCAGGCCACAGCATATGCACGGTTGCTGAGCATGTGGCAAAATTGCTATAGCAACACAATCACTAATTTTGCTCCTGAAATGTCCGTTTCAGTAGCATGTTATCTGGATGAAGAACGGTCCTTGGACTCCTGCTTCTTATTGTAGCCTCTGCGTGGGCCTGAGGGTGGACACGATTTGATTTTTTCTCTTCTAAATTTGGAAAAACACACACATGTGTGTCTGTACTTACATATCTACTTATATGCATATTCTTGATTAAATTGTATTAATCAGTGCTTTCATCTTCACTGTGGAAAGGAAGAGGAGTTATGTGTTACAAGTAACCTTGCCCTAAGTGTTAATTGGCAGGGGAGAATTCCTTTATGTTTCTTACACTAAAAACTCTCACTGTATATAATTTTAGAAAATTTCTCTTTTCCCCTAGTGAAACACAACTTGCTAAAATTGCATTGAAAGGTGTAATATTTTCTCACCTTTACTTTGCAATCATGTTCTAGACCATATGTGTGCAATAAATATATGCTAGTAAAATTTTCTATACAGTATGAAATTCAAACATTAAAAATCTTCCCCATGGGATATAATTAAATTAAAATTACATAGTTCTGCAAATAGGATATAGTCGGGGTGCTCTGGAGTACATACAGGGTCTATAATACTGATATTTGCAAATATCGGAATTACCAAAAATGAACAAATAACAATAAAAATAAAAACTTCATGACAACAATAGATTAGAAACAAAAAGAATCTAAATGTGTAGCCTAAAAATTTTCAATTTTCTCTTCTTTTTGTAAGTCAGAAAAAGAATGAAAACAAAAACGTTTATACGCAGAAGGTGAGCCCAAATAAGTCAGCTAGCAGAGATTCATCTGCGTGATATAATAGAAGCAACTGCAACAAATACATAAGTTCTAGAACTCTGATCTAACTATGTTTTTGTAATTGCAGCTGAGTTTATGTTGGCCATGTTAGCCCAGGTGTTTAAAGACAAAGTCAATGTGAAATAAGGATGAATCAATTGTGAACACTAATAAATGAAAAATAAGCTGAACTATATAGTTCAGTATCCCATGGGGAAGATTTTTAATGTTTGAATCTTCATACTGTATAGAAAATTTTAATAGCATCTATTTATTGCACAGATATGGCCTAGAATATGATTGCAAAGTAAAGGTGAGAAAACATTACACCTTTCAATCCGGGACAATTGATATTCTGTTATGACTAACCAGCAACTACCATCTTGTGACATTATCAGATTAACTCAGTGAAACAGACTTCATGTACTACATGGGTCCTTATCAATTTTCTATTTTTATTTACTCAGCCCTGGGGCCAGCCTCATACTGAAAAGAAAAATTGTTAGTTTCTGGTATTGAAATAAGTACCTCTGAGAAAGAAATCAAATAAATAATTGATTTAAATTCCAGAATCATTTATCTTCATTGGCAGACAACTGTATTACAGATATAAAGCTCCATTCTTGCCAAGGCAATACTCCCACTGACTTAAATAAAAAATTATGGAATGAGGTTCAAGTAGAGTTTTCAAATTTTATGCATCATTTACTAAAATTTAAGCAAAACCCACATAACTTCCTTTTGAAATTGTTCACTCTGTTAATGAGAACTGAATTTAAAATGATTACATGGAGAATAACAATTGGTGTGATAGGTATATTTATTGTATAAAGTAACTCTTCTTACAGAAGATTAAGCTATCTTTATGTATTCCTCAAATTACTTATTCATGAAATATTCCAAATACACACTGTTGGTTTGTCTCACTAAATTTCAGTTCCACAAATTTAGTAGGATGAGTAGCTATAATCTCAGAAAATAAACTGTCATTGATCATTGCCTGTGCTTAGCACCTTGTTATAAACTACAGAAAAGAAAAAGCTTTACAAAATATAAACTATACCATACCATTCCAATCTAGTTGAAGAGACAGAGATTACATATATTATATATACATGCACATCTATTAATATATGTATACATAAATATAACTTTAATAAATAACACATGATATTGAATATAAGACTGTGATTTTTGCACTTCAAAAATGGTTGAATATTGGCCAGGCACGGTGGCTCACACCTATAATCCCAGCACTTTGGGAGTCTGAGGCAGGTGGATCACCTGAGGTCAGGAGTTTGAGACCAGCCTGGCCAACACAGTGAAATGCCGTCCCTACCAAAAATACAAAAATTAGCTAGGCATGCCAGCAGCATCTGTAGTCCCAGCTACTTTTTAGGCTGGGGCAGGAGAATCTCTTGAACCCAGGAGGTAGAGATTGCAGTGAGCCGAGATCATGCCACTGCACTTCAGCCTGGGTGACAGAGCGAGATTCTGTCTCAAAAAAAAAAAAAAAAGAAAAGAAAAAGCCGAAGGTCAAATATTGATAATTTCATATGAATTATCAAAATATTTCCACAATCACCATGAATGTAATGAAAATGGAAGTACAAATAACAGAAATGAGGACATATTTACCTATGACTTGGGTTTGTATATAGAAAGATTCATTCACAGTACTGCATTTGAGATACTTCTTTAAGAATGAGTAAGATGCTGACAGAGGTGGAGTGAAGAAAACTATGGTATAAGGGATAGTTAATTCATTCAAAATGTATTTGTTGAGCCCCTATTAAGTACCCAACACCATGTTAAGCAGGAGCAGGAACAGTAAAAAACACAGACACGACCCCGGATTTCATGGAGCTTTCTCTTCAGCTATAATGTTTAGACTGAAGAGGGGAGAGATGTGATAATTGTCTTTTTCAAGTTATCTAAGACTAATAATAAGAGGACAGGATGTGAACAAACTTATTTTCTGAAGTTCCATCTGACGTAAGTAGGTCCACAAAGTCAAGATAATAAAAAATTAGTTTCACTCAATTTAATGAAGAGCATGCCAATAATTAATTAAGCTGAACTAAATGACTGCCATAGTTCTCAAAACTTCATGTTTCTATGATTATAATGCTCAAAAGGGTAAAGAAAAGAGTAGGCATCACTTGATAGAATTTATACAGATCTCCCGTAGTTCCCCTTTGAAAATGTGTGAGCAGCATTTCCTAAATCATCTCCTGGTGTGACATTAAGATCTCATGATATTTCATTAGAGATTCTGTGAAAAAGATTACAGTTGACAAATAGTAAATAAGGTTTTCGGGTCAGGTGCGGTGGCTCATGCCTGTAATCCCAGCACTTTGGGAGGCCAAGGCAGGTGGATCACGAAGTCAGGAGTTCAAGACCAGCCTGGCCAACATGGTGAAACCCCGTCTCTACTAAAAATACAAAAGTTAGCTGGGCATGGTGGCACACATCTGTAGTCCCAGCTGCTGGGGAGGCTGAGGCAGGAGAATCGCTTGAACCCGGGAGGCGGAGGTTGCAGTGAGCCGAGATCATGCCACTGCACTCCAGCCTGGGCAACAGAGTGAGACTCCATCTCAAAAAATAAATAAATAAATAAATAAATAAGGTTTTCCCACTACAGACCTTTCCTAAGACTTTCACATGCTAATACAGAGGTCCCCAACCCCCAGGCCAGGGACCAGTACTGGAACCGGGCCACATGGCAGGAGGTGTGCAGCAGGTGAGGGAGCATTACATCCTGAGCTCTGCCTCCTGTCAGATCAGCAGCAGCATTAGATTCTCATAGGAGCACAAACCATATTGTGAACTGCACATGCAAGGGATATAGGTTGCATGCGCCTTATGAGAATCTAATGCCTGATGATCTGTCACTGTCTCCTATCACCCCCAGATAGGACTGTTGCAGAAAAATAAGCTCAGGGCTCCCATTGATTCTACATTATGGTGAGCTGTATAATCATGCCATTATATATTACAATGTAATAATAATAGAAATAAAGTGCACAATAAATGTAATGTACTTGAATCATCCCTAAATCATCCCCCTCCCACTTTGCGGAAAAATTGTTTTCCATGAAAACGGTCCCTCCTGCCAAAAAGGTTGGGGACTGTTGTGCTAATATACATTTGCTATGGTCTCATTCATATCCCCTCAAATTCGTATGTTGAAATACTAACTCCCTAGGTGATGGTATTAGGAGGTGGGGCCTCTGGAAGGTGACTAGGCCATGGGGGCAATTGTCATGAAGAATGAGTTACTGCTTTTATAAAAGAGGCAAGAGAGGCACCCTTTGCCCCTTCTGCCATGTAAGGACACAGCAAGAAGGCACCATCTAGAAGGAAGCAGGCCCTCATCACACAATGAATCTGCTGGATCTTGGATTTCCCAGCCTCCAAATCTCTGAGACATAAATTTCTGTTCTTTATAAACTACCCAGGCTGTGGTATTTTGCTACAGCAGCCCAAATGGATTAAGATGACTTAACACTTTCTCCAAAACGGGAATATAATTACTACAGTGTTTCCTAAATTGGCTGCAAAGCTTTTGTTTTCTTGTTTTCCAAAATAACATCTATTAAGAACTTATAAGACACTGGTGGTTTGTTGAAGACAGTTTAAGAGGAAAAACCATATCGGCTTACTATATAAGGCATGTGGTAAAGGTGAAACTATGGGACAAAGCTAGAAAGTTTGATTAGGAGCCAATTATACTGAAGACTGAAGATAAGATCAAGCAGGATGTGCTTTATTTCATGGACAAAGGGAAACCATTATATATTTTTAAGAGGGGGAATGACAACCACTTGGAAAAACCATTTGAACGCTTGTTTTTTAGGCCTATAACTACTTGGAGAATAAACTGCTGGAAAAAGAAAAAGGCCAAAATAAAGAAGATGTAGGTGGCTATTTAGATAATCAAAGAGCTATATATTAAAGAGTAGAAGGGGAGTATAAGCAAGACTTAAAACAGAAGGATAATTTGAAAATAAATTGGCAAGACTTGATGATCATTTTGCTTGTTGGAGTGAAGGATGAAGCTGAGATTTTAATTTTTGGTGCCTGGATGGAGAGAAGAGGTATCTGAAACAGGAATACAAAAGGAGGAAGATTTTCAGTGTTCCCACTCCTGCAACAAATGGGGACTTGAGTAAGCACAGTATACCTAAGTCTAGGTTTTGATTAGAAGCAATTCACTTAAATTTATGCCCAATTATAGCTTCTCTTCATCAATTCCTTTTTTCCATTAAGGCTGACTGTTTGCTAATTGGCCAAAGAGCAAAGGCCTTCAAGAATGGAAAACCAGACCCTAAGCACTAGCTTATGTTATTATGTTAAAGAATCACAAAGGTCTGCATGTGGAAAACCTGACACAAGGCAAGGAAGGCAAATAAAACATGAAAAATGCACATACAGCTGACACTCTGAAGCAGCCCTTCTCTTCCTGGGAAAACAAATAATTGTATTGCATAGCTCTTTTTTAGACTAACTGTTCTGTGTTCAGTAGTTATGGTAAAATTTAGGGAGACACCAGGCGCAGGGCCAAGAGCAAAGGTTTTGGAAGCAGAGAGCTCTGGGTTCATATCCTGGCTGTGTCACTTCCTCATTAAGTGATTTGAGGCAAGTTTGTTTCTTCATCCTGCAGAGCCTCAGATTCCTAATTTACCAAAGGAGAATCTTAGAAATTATCTCATAAGACACTTGTGATGACTAAAGAACAGAATACATGTAAGGTGCTCAGTATAAGGCCTGGAACTTTTATTTTTGTTGTGTTGACCTTATTGATATTTTCTGCTAACTTGAGAATAATTAAAGATGAAAAAGGAAAATCTCAGGGATTATTACAATTTCAACATAACCATGGTTTTCTAATCTCCTTTGCTTCTTCATAGAGAAAAAAATATTTGCTTTTAGATGGTAGATCTTAGGTACCATGGAAACAAGAGTTGAAAAGGCTTCAAGTAAATAGAAAGCAAACAGCTGAGCCTGAGTTCTTCTTAAAAATGTAACCACAAAATATTGAGTAGATCATGATTTCTATGGAATTTTGAAGGCAACATAGGTATGTATTACTATATTACCAAATCAAGAACTTTCAAATATTGAAAATTTCTGAATCATTTATTATAAGCTGCTTTCCACTTTTCTGTTTCTTATATTGCATACATGTAAGAAATGCAACTGTGGTTTAAATGATGGAAAGGCAAAGAGTAATGGTAATGAATGATCTTCAATCAGTATATTTTGTTATGATCAATGGATAGATATACTCAGTGAGTAGAAATAATTATTTGCTTCCTATTTAATGATTTCATAATTTAAAATAAAATTTTATGAGTTGGAGAATAAATTTTTGTTTAAGTTTTATTGTCTTGCAGGTTTTTAATATGAAGTTACCTTTGATAGATATTTTATTGAATGTAGTCAATTTTTCTTAGTCTCAAGGTAATGTAGCTTGTCACTAAATATCCTTCTAAATATGATTATAAGTCAGAGGTATGTATAAAAGCAACTTGTTTGCAATGTCTTTTCTCTGTCTTATCATAGGATAACCAGGTTTGATTTTTTCAAATACTAAGAAAATTTACCTGATTTGAAATACGTTTCAAGACTTAATGTATTCTAACATTTCTTGCTATTAAGAACCACTAAGTCCCCAACAATACTACAGTCAGACTCCAGTTGAGAACCAAAGTTGCAGGGTGGATCTAGCTTCAGGGAAAACCCCCCAACCTCCACCCCTAAAAAAACAAATGCCTTTATTTCAATTGCATTCACAATATTTCTGATCTCACAGGAAAGCAAAAAGCTTTAACGTAAAAAGCCTACAAATTTCTCCACCAATATTTGTCCATATTGGGGATTTATGATAGCAGGCAAAGAGAGGCAATAAAGTGGTATGGGCTTTTTTTCAGGTTTCATTATTTATTATGAAAATAACACATTCACAGGATTGAAAAAAACTCAAACAATAAAAGTCCCTTTATCACCCCAGACTCTGAGCTGTCAACTGCTTGTTATATGTTTCTCCAGAAAAATTCCAATGCACATACAAATATACATGCATCCTCTTTCTTTATACATGGAAGCATATCACACACAGTGTTCTCTACTTTGGCTTTCATTCTAAATTTTATCTCAGAGAGTTTTCTATAGCTTCATATCTGGAGCAACCTCATTGTTTTAAAATGTATTAGGGCCTCTTCCCCTGTAGCCCCAGTGATATGGGGCAGTATAACTTCTGACTGCATGACTTTGGAGAGGAGCCTGGCCGCAGATGGCCGGGCTTCACAGAAAGATCACCTTCTTCCCATACCATCCTCCTTCCAGCTCCCCTTCTGCTGAGAGCCACTTCTGCCACTTAATAAAATCCTCTACATTCATAAACTGTTCCTGTGACCTGATTCTTCCTTAATGATGAAAAAGAATTCAGGACACACTGGGTGCAGGAACCCAAAAAGGCTGTCACACTGACTCTTCACGGAGCTGTTAACATTTAAGCCATCCGTGGAGGCAAAGCTAAAATAGCATTGTTTATAACATGTGCCCTCTGGGGCTCCAGAGCTCTGTCACAGGCAACTTCTTTTTTTTTTTTTTTTTTTTAATTTTTTTTTTTTTTTATTATACTTTAAGTTTTAGGGTACATGTGCACATTGTGCAGGTTAGTTACATATGTATACATGTGCCATGCTGGTGCACTGCACCCACTAACGTGTCATCTAGCATTAGGTATATCTCCCAATGCTATCCCTCCCCCCTCCCCCGACCCCACCACAGTCCCCAGAGTGTGATATTCCCCTTCCTGTGTCCATGTGATCTCATTGTTCAATTCCCACCTATGCGTGAGAATATGCGGTGTTTGGTTTTTTGCTCTTGCGATAGTTTACTGAGAATGATGGTTTCCAATTTCATCCATGTCCCTACAAAGGACATGAACTCATCATTTTTTATGACTGCATAGTATTCCATGGTGTATATGTGCCACATTTTCTTAATCCAGTCTATCATTGTTGGACATTTGGGTTGGTTCCAAGTCTTTGCTATTGTGAATAATGCCTCAATAAACATACGTGTGCATGTGTCTTTATAGCAGCATGATTTATAGTCCTTTGGGTATATACCCAGTAATGGGATGGCTGGGTCAAATGGTATTTCTAGTTCTAGATCCCTGAGGAATCGCCACACTGACTTCCACAATGGTTGAACTAGTTGACAGTCCCACCAACAGTGTCAAAGTGTTCCTATTTCTCCACATCCTCTCCAGCACCTGTTGTTTCCTGACTTTTTAATGATTGCCATTCTAACTGGTGTGAGATGATATCTCATAGTGGTTTTGATTTATGATACCAAAGCCGGGCAGAGACACAACCAAAAAAGAAAATTTTAGGCAACTTCTACTCACTGCTGCAGGCTGGTAAAGGGTTCCTTCCTGCTGGAGCCCAAAGGCACTCGCCCCAGCTCCTGCACCCCCTCACCTGCATGCTCCCCCTCTCGAAAGCTGTTTGAGTGTGGCTTAAAGAGTAAATGAGCCATACCCCTGTTCCATGTCCCAGAAGGGGTGGAGGGAACTCTCCTCTCTCACCAGTGCATTGGGAGGCTAAGGCAGCAGGATCACTTGAGCACAGGAGTTTGGAGACCAGCCTGGGCAACATAGCAAGACCCCATCTCTACAAAAAATGAAAAATTAGTCAGGCATGGTGGTGTGCCTGTAGTTGTAGCTATTTGGGAGGCTGAGGTGGGAGGATCACTTGAGCCCAGGAGTTTGAAGCTTGCAGTGAGCTATGATCATGCCACTGCATTCCAGCCTGGAAGACAGAGGAAGACACTGTTTCCAGAAAAATAAAAAATAAATTTAAAAGTATCACAGTAGGGATAAACAGTCCCTGCTATGCAACAGCAATGAAGGTTCAATGGACAAGCTTTGTGCACATTTGGAATTATATTTTCAGATAGTTCCTAGGTTTGTAACTAATCAGTGAAATCTATATACCTTTCAATATTGATGGTATTTTCAAATGGGCCTTCAAAAAGATTGTATCAATTTAAACACCCATCAAGAAATTATGCCTTTAATCAACACTACATATTAACAAATGTTTGGATCCTGATGACATCTCCTTAGATACTTAATTACCATTTACATTGCTGTTCCTGTATCTTGTTATATCAACAACTCTGCTCGATTTTCTATTCGGTTGCTGATCTTTTCCTTAAATATAGTTTAGGAGATATTTATGTATTTATAAAATTAGCCCTTTGGCTAATATATAGCCACAGATACTATAACTAGTTTTTAAATCTGTCTCTTGGTTTTGTTTGTGGTTTTCTTGCTTTGGATATTCAAATTTAATAATGCCTTCCTGTAAGACTTATAGATTGTGTGTCTTAATTTAAAAGACTATGCCCACCACTGAAACCAACCAACCAACTGCCAAATTTTCTACTAATGATGATGGTGATGGTGGCGATGATGATGATGATTTTAAGCCCCAACATCTAGCATTTATTTTATTCTAAAGAATGAGATAGATTCAAGTTTTCTTTATTATTTTTCTATTTCCAACTTCCTATCTTGTTATATCAATTCATGTATTGAATAAACTATTTTCCTCACTGGTTGAAAAACTGATCTTTATTACATTCTAGGTAATGTAATAGGTACAAATGCCTTAGGTCTTTTAGTGTTTCTTGATCTCTATTTTAATCTATTAATCTGTACGTTTTGTCCTCTGCTAAGATCAAACTCTTTTAACTTCTTTAGCATTATATTTATAATGAGTTGGGTTTTCCTCATTACTCTACTATTTAAGAATTATCTCAGCTATTTTCCCAAATTATTTTTAATAAAATGATGGTGACATTACAGATTCATTTATAAGCATTAGACATTTAAACATATTCGACCTTTCCATTCAAGAATATGTCTTTCCTTAATGTAAGTCATGATATCTTTTTTGCCTCTAAGTAGGATTTTTAAATTTCCTTTATAAAATTCTGCAAAATTTTTGATAAGTATATACCTACATGTTTTCTTTTACATAGCTATTCTAAATGACATCTTTTACTGCATTTTAATTTGAATTGGCTGTCTGTACATAGGAAAGTTGGTTGGTGATACAAATTTTTTATCACCTATTTTCTCTATTCTCTTCATTTAAAGATTTTTTTTCTTTTAAAATGCATACATTTTCCAGGAGTAAAAAATCACATAATTTGTCATAAATGATAATTTTCTACTTTCTTCACTATTTTTGTACCTCTTCATTACTTGTGTTGTCTAATGGCACTGGCTAGTAGATTAGAATAATACCAATTAATAATGGTATCTGTGGGCATCTTTGCCTTTTTCCTAACTTCATTCTTTTTATTTGTAGTAATTTATGGGATATAAGTATAATTTGTTGCATGAATAGATTGTATAGTGGTAAAGTCAGGGCTTTTGGGGTATCCATCACCTGAATAACATACACTGTACCTATTAAGTAATTTCTCATTACCAACCCCCCTCACCCACCTGCATCCTTCTGAGTCTCTGTTGTCTATCATTTCACACTCAACATCCACATGTACACATTATTTAGCTCTCACAAGTGAGAATATGTGGCATTTATTAATATATTTCTGGGTCTGAGTTACTTCACTTAAGATAATGGCTTCCAGTTCCATCCATGTTGCTGCAAAAGACATGGTTTCAGTCTTTTTTATGGATGAATAGTATTCTATTGTTTGTATATATCACATTTTCCTTATCTGATTATCCACTGATGGGTACTTGGGTTGATTCCCTATCTTTGCTATTGTGAATAGAGCTATGAAAAACATATGAGTGCAGGTATCTTTTTGATGTAATGATTTCTTTTCCTTTGGGTAGATGCCAAGTAGTGGTATTGCTGGATTAAATGGTGTTCTATTTTTAGTTCTCTGAGAAATCTCCATACTGTTTTCTATAGAGGTTGTACTAATGTACATTCCCACCAAGTTTTTCAAAACTTTAAAGGTAATACCTACATGAGTCTAGTATGTCAGCCTTTGGCTGGATGCTGGCCTTTTCTGTAAAGTTCTGGATGAAAATGAAAGCTCCTAATAAAGCTATGTTGTATATTACTCCATTCCTGAATCTCAGGAGAACTGAGAAAGTACTGAATTTCCTAAATCTTCTCTTAGTTCTCATCTATCTCTCCTGAATTTAAATGAAAACATGCAAACTATTTTAGTTTACAGTTAATTTATAAGGTAGTCTTATTCATTGATGTATGTAATATTAATTAATTTTTATGTACAATTATAAAAAATAAAGATTTCACAGAGAAGAAATCTCTCTCAATATATGTGTATATGTGTGTGTGGGTGTGTTACCAACATAGCATGAAATTGTTATAAGCGTTCGATATTAGAATAGTTTCATTTCTCAAAGTCTCAGGATACAAAATCAATGTACAAAAATCACAGGCATTCTTATACACCAACAACAGACAAACAGAGAGCCAAATCATGAGTGAACTCCCATTCACAATTGCTTCAAAGAGAATAAAATACCTAGGAATCCAACTTACAAGGGACGTGAAGGACCTCTTCAAGGAGAACTACAAACCACTGCTCAATGAAATAAAAGAGGATACAAACAAAGGGAACAACATTCCATGCTCATGGGTAGGAAGAATCAATATCATGAAAATGGCCATACTGCCCAAGGTAATTTATAGATTCAGTGCCATCCCCATCAAGCTACCAATGACTTTCTTCACAGAATTGGAAAAAACTACTTTAAAGTTCATATTGAACCAAAAAAGAGCCCGCATCGCCAAGTCAATCCTAAGCCAAAAGAACAAAGCTGGAGGCATCACACTACCTGACTTCAAACTATACTGCAAGGCTACAGTAACCAAAACAGCATGGTACTGGTACCAAAACAGAGATATAGATCAATGGAACAGAACAGAGCCCTCAGAAATAATGCCACATATCTACAACTATCTGATCTTTGACAAACCTGAGAAAAACAAGCAATGGGGAAAGGATTCCCTATTTAATACGTGGTGCTGGGAGAACTGGCTAGCCATATGTAGAAAGCTGAAACTGGATCCCTTCCTTACACCTTATACAAAAATTCATTCAAGATGGATTAAAGACTTAAACGTTAGACCTAAAAGCATAAAAACCCTAGAAGAAAACCTAGGCATTACCATTCAGGACATAGGCATGGGCAAGGACTTCATGTCTAAAACACCAAAAGCAATGGCAACAAAAGCCAAAATTGACAAATGGGATCTAATTAAACTAAAGAGCTTCTGCACAGCAAAAGAAACTACCATCAGAGTGAACAGGCAACCTACAAAATGGGAGAAAATTTTCACAACCTACTCATCTGACAAAGGGCTAATATCCAGAATCTCAATGAACTCAAACAAATTTACAAGAAAAAAACAAACAACCCCATCAAAAAGTGGGCAAAGGACATGAACAGACACCTCTCAAAAGAAGACATTTATGTAGCCAAAAAACACACGAAAAAAGGCTCACCATCACTGGCCATCAGAGAAATGCAAATCAAAACCACAATGAGATACCATCCCACACCAGTTAGAATGGCAATCATTAAAAAGTCAGGAAGCAGTAGGTGCTAGAGAGGGTGTGGAGAAATAGGAACACTTTTACACTGTTTGTGGGACTGTAAACTAGTTCAACCATTGCGGAAGTCAGTGTGGCGATTCCTCAGGGATCTAGAACTGGAAATACCATTTGACCCAGCCATCCCATTACTGGGTATATACCCAAAGGACTATAAATCATGCTGCTATAAAGACACATGCACACGTATGTTTATTGAGGCATTATTCACAATAGCAAAGACTTGGAACCAACCCAAATGTCCAACAACGATAGATTGGATTAAGAAAATGTGGCATATATACACCATGGAATACTATGCAGTCATAAAAAATGATGAGTTCATGTCATTTGTAGGGACATGGATGAAATTGGAAATCATCATTCTCAGTAAACTATCACAAGGACAAAAAACCAAACACCACATGTTCTCACTCATAGGTGGGAATTGAACAATGAGAACACATGGACACAGGAAGGGGAACATCACACTCTGCGGACTATTGTGGGGTGGGGGGAGGGGCGAGGGATAGCATTAGGAGATATACCTAATTCTAAATGACCAGTTAATGGGTGCAGCACACCAACATGGCACATGTATACATATGTAACTAACCTGCACATTGTGCACATGTACCCTAAAACTTAAAGTATAATAATAAAAAAAGAATAGTTTTGTTTCTATTTATAATCTTCCTATATAGGCATGTCATTATTTTAGTAAAGATAAGCCTGAATATGTTGTAACGTATTTGAGTTTTTGTTATTTCTCTTTCCTTTTATCATTAAAGCTTATTTGTTTGAAATCTATACAAATACATGAGCTGAAACAAATAAAACTCAATCCACTTGAGATTTTGAAGACATCTGGTGGAGTTATTTTCTGAGTAATTAGACCAAGAGGTGGGACAATTCCCTGAAGTAAGCTACCCTATAATTGGATACCCAGTTATATCTGCAGTCATCAGCTTGCATTCAGTGAGCATATTGATTCACAAATTGACAAGCAATTATGTAGAGTTGCCACCTGATTTTCCAAAGACCATTTATGTTATAAAGAATATGTCCTACATGCTTTTTAAAAAGTTGCCTCTTCTCAGTCCTCTCATAGTCTGTTCTATTTCTTTATGTTCTGTCACATCAATATGCTATTTATCTTGTCGGAGATCTTGAAAGTAGAAAGTAGAGCCCTCAAGTGCTGGTCTCTACTTGTCTCTGGTTAATCCAACATTTGGGAACAAATATGAATTATTTACAATTTGGATTTTGAACATGTGTATCCATTTTGGTTCAGAGAGATATCTAGTAAGGGTAAAAAAGATATTTAAATGCTTCAATTTTTGTCATGCTTGATATTCTTTGGCTTGAAAATGTTGAATAATAAAGTATTAATACTTAAATATATGTCAACATTACAAAATCATAAGTCTGGAAGAGATCTGAAAGTTCAAAGAGTTATTCTGTCTGCTGGAGAGCAAAAACACGTATGCTACCATGGAAAGATATATATGTTTCCAATTTAAAAGAACTCCAGGAGATTCCACAACTACCCTAATTTATCCATTGTGTAGCAGAAAATTGCTATCCTTTATATCTAATTGAAATCCCACAGGTTATTAGAATCTACTCCATCCTTTCTTTGCCTTTAGTATTTTATCTTTAAGGATGGTATTTACAGAGCAGCAAAGTCAGGAGTTTTAACCAAGCCAGGGGCAAAGATAATCAGATCAAGACCCTCTGAGAAAGGGCTACAATTACCATTTCTTCTGTTCATGAATCCTACACTATCACTGTTCTGAATCACCCTCAATTTAATTTTAGATAAGAGTTAGGAAGTTAGGATTCACTTTGGATGTAAGTTATGAGTATAAGATACTTTGAATCTATGACATTTACAAATCCTTAACAAATATAAGGGCAAACTATGCACATGGATTAACATTAGACATTAATGTAAACACGTTCAATTTATCCAAGTTAAAAATGCTCCCCAGATCTCGGGATATTTAGATCTGACTACCACGCAGGTGCAATTCAAGAATATTATTATTTGCTTGGGCATTTAACATTGTCAGTCTATTCATTCGCATTATTTATCTTCTTAAGTATGAACCATGTTTTAATTTCATGTAGTCCAACAGGAAGCAAGTCAAGATTTATTCACACCATTTTACTTTTCAACACATGAAACAAGATCACCAAACCTTAACCAAACCAATTCAAAACTTTTTGTCAGAGAATAACTCCATTTTCCATTCCACTAATTGAAATAACAGTATGTCCACATGCTAGAGTAGTGAGTAAGTGAATCTTGAAGTGCAATGCAAATGCAATGGAAAACTCACCGGAAGTTTCATCTACTCTTTCATCTACTATGTGGTCCTTCTGATGAACCCATTCACTATTACACTTGAAATAGATCTGGGTGGCAGGGCTTGCTTTACAGTACAGGTTCACGGGCTTATTCTTCACAATATAAGCTTCTTCAGGCTCAATAAGGAAATGTGGCAGAGGCTCAGGTGGATCAGAAGGAAAAGTTTCTGGGAGTTCATGAAAAAAGTCATCATCTGAGAAAGAAGAAGAAAGTGGAAGATGGTTAACACATTGTAACAACTTGCCTTCTACTTGCTAGTCATGTAAAAATAGTGACTTATAAATGCAGTAATTAAGTGATTTGAATGCCTGCTGTGTGCCAGGCTGTATGTTAGATCTATTGACTGGTCATTTAAGGATATGGATTATTATTCCCATTTCTATACACAGCAAAACTCAACATCAGGGAGGATAAGTAAGTTGCCCTGAGCACATAGGTAGTAAATAGCAGAGCTGAAACTGGAATTCATGTGTATCTCAATTAAAAACCATGATCTTCCCAATGTATCACTACATTTCCCATTATAGAGTGTCACCCTTGAGAGCAGACAAAAGCAAGAGCAACTTCATTAGAAACATGTATTTGAAAATCATAAGGCTCATAGATAAAGCTTACACACTTTGCAAGGAGCCGAGCAGAAATATTAGAAACTTTAATTAAGGATATTTACGTTCCAATTCAAATCTGTTGTTATTTTCAAAAGATGTCATTGTGTGAAATATTCATTCAACCCAAAATTTAAAAACCACTTTAGATAATTTGCACACTTTGAGATACATTTTAAACCTGGATTCTGCATGATTCAAAATAAAAAATTAATAATAAATGTGCTTTTTATAATAAAACCTATTATTGTGTTTTACAAAAGTCAAGGTAAAAACAGTCTTTCCAACACACCATAAATAAGTTCAGCCTAATAATAATCTTCCAATTGGGACAGAGGAGAACAGAGCTATTACTAATTCCCCAAACTGGTTACAAATACGTAATTGAAAACTCTGATGTCAAAATTAAAATTTTTTTACAAGTTCTTTAAATGTACGTATATTCAGTAGTAAATATAGAGCATGGTATTGGTACTTAAAGGCTGGTTGCTCACATATTGTCTTGAAAGTCATTTTATTTCTCCTTCAGTTGTTGCCCTGTGTTGGAAGATAGCCATTGGTATAGTGGACATCTGTCCACTAAGAAAACTGGCTTGGAACTTTTTTCATTCAAGTCATAAGATAGCTGTCAAATAGTAATGATGTCCGGTCTCTGCTACTCTGTTTTGCAGTAAAAATTGACTTCACTTGCATCACTGACAAAACTAGCATTCCAAGCTGCCCACAGTAGTAAATTTTTGACACTGAAATGTAAATGTTGTTTCCTATACCTAGATATTTCTTCTCACTTTACCTCCTTAATTTGCTTTCTTTTGGCAGGGCATCATTTCTAGTTTTTCCATTGTTGAACATCAAGGACCAAAATTGTCAGCTTACTAAAGAATAACCTTGTTTCCATCAATTGCAGCTCCTTTAGTCAATATGCAAGAACATTCAAGACTGCTTAAATAAACATAGCTCAGAAAGGCAAAGGGATGAGGAACTGAACTATTGACAAATCCATCAGCATGAAACTGATGTCTTGAAGGTCTTAACCAATTTTTTTTCTTCTAAAGCACTTACTGTTATATGTGATGATGGACAGTGCTGATAATCAATAAAGCTCCGCAAAACATGACTCAAATTCTATAGAAGTTAGCTGTTGGTTTTAATTATTACTATTTATGAAGGTGGAAGGTCAACTAGACTTTATTTTTTAACTATGTTTGTACACATAAAACATGTGACTGTATTTAATAACTATTTATTTAAGCATGCAAAGTATAATAAATCTTTCAGCCATTGTTTCAGAAGGTAAAACTTGAAAAGGAATGATTGCAAGATACAGATGATTGTATACTACCTTACCTTATTCAATAATATAGCAAAAGTATTTAAATGTTCACATGCTATAGAAAAACTTCATAGGCACTAAAAATTGATTACTCTGCCTTGCCAAAGCATGTATCTCTTTCTTCTGATTATTTTATTGTAAACTACTGAAAAGACAAATGGAAGCAAAAAAGTCACACATTTTCAAGTCAAAAGCAGCTCTGTTAAATGCTGGGAAAAAAGTGATAATTTAACAATATATTTAGAAAATGTATGGGCAAACTAACTTTGTATTTCCTTAATTTTGACTTTTAAGACAACATGATCACCACAAGTAAAGAGAGATGAACCTATATCTTGGTTTGAGGTTTCACACAGTTATTGATTTTTCAAGATGTTTGTTAACACTTGAAAATGCAACTTATTAAGGAAGATTTCTATCATTAGAAATGTTTTAATTTAATAAATCCAGTTTTTCTTTGCATATCATTATAGTTTCTGCAGAATCAATCGTTAAAAGTTTATCTAGAGAGATGCCTTAGCCAACCACAGCATAGTAGTTTATTAAGATTTCCTATAATATTCACAAAGTAAAGTCAAGCCTATGCCCTGGATGAATTCCTGTTATAGGCAATATGGCATATCACTTCTATTACTCAACTCAGTTGTTGAGAATGATATTAATATAGAAAATTCAAGAACTTGATTTAGTAGATATGTACAGTGGGACAGATATGATAAAATGCAAATAAGCTGATTATCAGTGGGCTCACCCCTGTTGTGAAATCCTTGCCTTCTCCACATACAAAAATGAGCTGGGTACCTTACTCAACCATCGAAGTTGGTCCCACCATCAAGTTAACATACTAAAAGAACACTTTCTGATTCTTGCTCCATAGAAAACTGTCAAGTTTCAGCATTAATTCTCAGATACAGTGTTATTTTAGAAATCATCTTTTTACGAAACTGTATCCTAACTTTTTTCTATTCTAGAGAAAGTTTTGAAAATGAAACAAGCAAGCCAATTCTCTTCAACTGAAATAATAGATGAAAACTTTAATTTAAACATCCAGCATGACTATAGCTACATGTATTTAAAGATAAAGTGATCAGCTACAAATACTATTTATCCTACATGAATATTTAGCTCCTCTGTGTAATGCATTTGCCAGTCATACAAGTGGAGGAATCTACTTTTCAGTTTTGCAATTGGTTTTATAAGACTATTACCAATTTTCAAAAAACTTGAAATATACAATAAATGCTTAACACTAGAGATGAAACTCTTTGAAAGCAGGGACTATATTGATTTCATTTTCATTTTCCCTAAGTCTAGCACATTATATGGGGTCAATAAAAATCTTACAAATGCATGAATATTATACTAATGGCAACTTTGATCATTCCTAAGAGATTCACAAGGAATTTTAGAGTTTATAGTGCCTCAGATTCATTTACAATTATAAGATGTTTTAACAATAGAAATATCTACAAACAGGACTGGCTACAAAATTTGTGTGGCCCGGTGTAGAATGAAAGTTCAAGATCCCTGATTAAAAATTTATTAAGAATTCTGAGATTGTGACAGCAGAACATTAAACCAAACACTGGTCCTGTGTGACAGCAGAGGTCACATACCCGTGAAACCAGCCCTGTCTACAAATGTCAGGTAAATGAGCATCTCACTTCATGGAAAGTCTGAAAAATGAAATTGCATCTTTATTACTGGATATTCATTTTGGAACTTAGTTTGTTTTCCAGCTTCTTGTGGTAATTAGCTATTTTCTAAAGGAAAACACAATTGTTCAGACTGAGAAACTCAGGCTCATATCAATTCTCTAAGCAAGCGTATTTGCAATGGTGTGCAAGGGAAGGTGTGTGACTTTATGTGTCTGTGGCCTTCCTTTGGATGTTCCCTAGTGCCCATCAAAGGTCCTCTGTTCCAAAATAAGTAAAATCCCTGCCATGCTAAAATTTTTACTTTTTCAGGGCATTAAAGGACTGCTGAACCCATGGGGATAAGAAAATCTGTGATTCCACCCTGAAGTGGTAGACTGTTTACTGAGATCAGTACCTTCAATTCAATTAATATTACCATACTACAAAAAAACCCCACAAAACAAAATGAAAAAAACAGCTTAAGGTCATGCTGCAAAACTTGGAGCTATAAAAAAATTGATTTTTTTTTCTTCAAGGACATCAGTGAGTACATCCTCTTACCACTTTATTTTTTAATATAAATATCTGAAGGAGTGACATTAGGGTGATAATAAGAATTCAGTTTGTGAACAGCAACTTCAGACTGTGAACTTATTTCTGGCAACATGCCACAGGTATCCCAAATTATTACCTTTTCTATAAATGCACACCCCAGCTGCTGGTATTGACTGCATTGTGCTATCTGGGCAAAATGACTTGATTAATTAAATTGTGAAACACGTTTTGTACATGTAGTTCATTCAAATTAACAAGGTAAAATTTCCAGAGTTGCTTTTGTTCTGTACATTGAATTCAGTATTAACTTAACGCATTTTTGATTTAGATGTAACGCTATTATTCATTTTACCCTCCTCTGATATTTGACTTAATTTTCCACTTTCTACTATTACTCAATACTGACATTCCAACAGTAGTACCATTTTTATCTTGATATCAATAAATCTCAGTATTTCCTTTTTTCTGTTATCTCACATAGGCTTTTGCTGTTTCATTTATACCCAAGAAGAGAAAGCTTTTCACCATGTATTATTTTTATAGACTTTCATTCCACCTAATTCTTCACAGGAATATATTATGCTATGAACATCAATCTAGGGAGCTTTAGGTTGCTGATTTTATTGCTAAATATCAAGCCTTAATTTTCATCAACTTAATACATAAGTTTCTATATTTCTGAATCATAAGACTTAAACTATTATTGCTTATATCATAAAATATAGGACCATTATCTCTTTGTCTGAGACTTGAAGCATACTCCTCTGAAATGGAATTTACTTCCAAGTGATTCAAGAGCAATTTAAAATGAATGACTGCAAAGCTAATGTTATCTGCATTTGGCTACCCATCCATCAGAGAGATAATTCATGATATATTACAACAAAAGGCAGCTGGAATTAACTAGTTGAATGAGACTCCAGCTTATTTTTAATATTTTGATTAAAATATCCTCAGGAAGACAAAGACTATGGTCTATATTTCAAGCAATATATTAATGGATTCATCATTTAAATTCAAGTCGTTGACTACATAATGCCTTAAATGTATTGCACAACTTGGAAGTACTGAATGATTTCTAACTTCAAAACAAACTTTTTTTTGCTTTTAAAGAAATACTTGCCAAATCATGCCCATACATTATTAATAATATACAGCTAATATGCTAGTTGATATCCACTTAACTCTGAAAAGGGGGCACCATTTTCTGCCCGCTTAAGCCTTCATGAACTCTGACTTTTATTAATTAATCTATCCTCCTAAGTGTTTTCCAGCCTATCATCTCTACCTCTGCCATGTAGTCTACAGTGTATTCTTAGAAGACATTTTCACACAAACACATTTACCCCCTTTTGCAAATAATTTAATAAATGCAATGTGATGTTTTTTGCAAAAGAAAATTTTTGCTTACCAAATTAGCTAAAAAATACTCAATGACTGATGAGGAGGTGAAGAAATGTGCAATTGCATATATGGCTGGAGTGTAAATGGGTATCACAGAAGATAGAATTTGACAATATAAGTAAAAATTACATCTCTGCATATCTCCAAATAAGCTATCCCACTTGTTGGAATCCATATTACAGACAGAATGACATGAAAGTGTAAATACATATGTACGAAGATGTCCACTGCAGCATTATTTGTCTAAAGAATACATGATATATTACAACAAAAGGCAGCTGGAATTACTTATTTGAATAAGACTGAGAACAACTGACCACCAACTGAGGAATGGTTAAATAATTTCTGAAACATCCAAGCAAAAGTACACTGGCTGGCCAATAGAAATAAGAAAGTGGATTTGTACGTATTGACCTAGAAGGGCAAGCAAATAAAACAAGTTTTTGGCCAGTTTGTGTAGAATTATACCATTTTTTTTATAAGAAAGAGAGAAAGAAAGAAGAAAGAGAGAGAAAGAAAGAAAGAAGAAAGAGAGAGAAAGAAAGAAAGAAAGAAAAAAAGAAAAGAAAAAAGAAAAAGAAAGAAAGGAGGGAGGGAGAGAGGGAGGAAGGGAGGGGAGGAAGCAGAGCAAGATAGCCAAATGGAAGCCTTCACTGATTGTCCTCCCTGCAGGAACATCAAATTGACTATATACACCATAAAGCACCTTCATGAGAACCAAAACTCAGGTGAGTGATCACAGTACCTGGTTTTAACTTCATATCACTGAAAAATGCACTGAAGAATGTAGGAAAGACAGTCTTGAATTGTTAATGTCACCACTCTCCCAACTCCCAGCAGTAGCTGTGAGGTGTGGAGAGAGAATCTGTGTCCTTGGGGGAGGAAGAGGGCAGTGATTGTGCGACTTTGCATTGGAACAGAGTGCTACCCTGTCACAGCAGAAACCAAAATGGGGCAGAATTCAGCTGGGGCCCACAGAGGGAGCATTTATACTGCCCTAGCCAGAGGGGACTCACCCATCCTTACCGTCAGAACCTGCGTTCTATTAAGCCTTGCCACCATGGGCTAAGGGCTGTAAGGTCCTAAATAAACTTGAAAGGCAGTCTAGGCCACAAAGACTACAATTCTTGGGCAAATAATGGTTCTATGCCAGGCTCGGAACCACTGGACTTGGGGAACATGCTACCTAGTGAGATACCAGCCAGGCTGGCTAAGGGAGTGCTTGTGCCACCCCTCCCCTAACCATGGGCAGCATGGCTGACAGCTTATAGGAGACATTCCTTCCCTCTGCTTGAGGAGAGGAGAGGGAAGAGTAAAGAAGACTTTCTTTTGCCACTTAGCTACCAGCTCAGCCACGGTAGGATAGGGTACTGGGCAGTCCTGAGGCCCATATTCTAGGCCATAGTTCCCAGGCTACATTTCTAGAGCCGCTTTGGGCCAGAAGCAAAACTACTACCTTGAAGGGAAGGACCAAGTCCTGGCAGAATTAATCACCTGCTGAGTAAAGAGAACTTAGGCCCTGAATAATCAGCAGCAATATCCAGGCGGTACATGCTGTGGTTCTGGGGTGAGACTCAGAGACGTGCTGGCTTCATATGGCTTCAGACTGAGCACATTCCCAGCTGTAGTGAGAATGGACTGGGATGAGGCTCCTTCTGCTTGAGAAAAAGGGAGGGAAGAGTAAAAGGGAGTTTGTCTTGCACCTTAAGTACCAACTCAGCCACAGTGGGACAGAGCACCACATGAATCCCTTGAGGTTCCCAATTCCAGGCCTTGGCTCTTGGATGGCATTTCTGAAACTGCCCTGGGCCAAAGGGGGGCCCACTGCCCTGAAGGAAGAGTCACCACAAGCTGACTGAAGAGCCCTTGGGCCTTAAGTGAACATTGGTGGTAGTCAAGCAGTACTTGCTGTGGGCCTGGGGTGGCAGTGGCAGTGGCCATGGAAAAAGACTCCTCTGATGGTGGAAAGGAGAGGGAAGAGCGGGAGAAACTTTGTCTTGTGGCATGGGTGCCAGTTTAGCCACAGTAGAATAGAGTTCCAGGTAGATTCTTAAGGTTTCTGACTCCAGGCCTTGGCTCCTAGATGTTACCTCTGGATCCGCACAGGGCTGGGGGCAACTTGCTTCTCTGGAGGGAAGAACAAAGGCCTGGCTAGTTTTGCTGCCAGAGCCCTAGGGCCTTGAGAGAACATAGATGATAGCCAGGCAGTGGCTACCATGGGCCTTGGGTGAGACTCAGTACTGTGCTGGATTCAGGTCTGACCCAGCATTGTCCCAGTGTTGGGTAGAGACAGGGATGCTTATGTCACCCCTCTTCAAGCTCTAGGCAGCTCAGTAGACAGAGAAGGAGACTCTGCTTGTTTGTTTGGGAGAAAGTAAGGGAAGAGACCAAAATTCTCTGCCTAGTAATCCAGAGAAGTCTTCCAGATCTTATCCAAGACCACAAGACCTCTATGAGTCTGCAAAAGTCATAGTGTTACTGGGCTTGGGATGCCACCTAATGCACACATAGCTGGAGTGACCAAAAACTTAGATTACAACTCTTCAATGCACAGACACCAATAAACATCCACAAGTATCAAGGCCATCCAAGAAAACATGACCATGCCGAGAAAATTAAATAAGACACCACTGGCCAATGCTGGAGAGAGAGAGATATATGACCTTTCAGAGAATTCAAAATAACTGCTTTGAGGAAGTTCAATGAAATCTAAGATAACATAGAGAAGGAATTCAGAATTATATCAGATACATTTAGCAGAGAAATGGAAATAATTAAAAGCAAGCAGAAATTCTGGAGCTGAAAGATGCAACAGACATACTGAAGAGTACATCAAGAGTCTCTTAAAAGCAGAATTAATGAAGCAGAAGAAAGAACTAGTAAGCTTGAAGTCGGGTTATTTGAAAGTACACAGTCAGAAGAGACAAATTAGAAAAGAATGAGAAAAAAATGAAGCACATCTACCACAACTAGCAAATAGCCTCAAAGGGACAAATCTAAGAGTTATTGGCCTTAAAGAGGAGGTAGAGAGAGATATAAAGGTAGAAAGTTTATTCAAAGGGATAATAACAGAGAACTTCCTACACCTAGAGAAAGATATCAACATTCAAGCACAAGAAGGCTACAAAACATCAAGCAGGTTTAACCCAAATAAGACTACTTCAAGACATTTAATAATCAAACTCCCAAAGACTCAAGGATAAAAAAAGGATCCTAAACGCAGCAAGAGAAAAAAACAACATAAAATGGAGCTCCAGTACACCTGGCAGCAGACTTCTCAGTGGAAACTTTACAGGCCAGGATAGAGTGGCCTGCCATATTTAAAGTGCTGAAGGAAAAAAAATCTTCTTTTCCTAGAATAGTATATCAAGAGAAAATATACTTCAAACATAAAGGAGAAATAAAGACTTTCCAGACAAACAAAAGCTTAGAGATTTTATCAACACCAGACCTGCCCTACATGAGATGCAAAAAGGAGTTCTTCAATTGGAAAGAAAATGTTAATGAGCAATAAGAAATTATCTGAAGGTGCAAAACTGACTGGTAATAGCAAGTATACGAAAAACACACAATATTATAACGTTATAATTCTGGTATGTAATCTACTCATATTTTGAGTAGAAAGACCAAAAGGTGAACTGATCAAAAATAATAACAATAACTTTTCAAGACATAGACAGTACAATAAAGAATAAATAGAAACAACAAAAAGTTAAAAAGTCAGGGGACAAAGTTAAAGTGTAGAGTTTTTATTAGTTTTCTGTTTGCTTGTTTATACAAGTCAGTGTTAAGTTGTCATCTGTTTAAAATAATGGATGACAAGATATCATTTACAAGCCTCATGATAACCTCAAATCAGAAAACATACACAAAATAAAATAAAAAACAAAGAAATTTAAAAATGCCAACTGAGGAAAAAACCTTCACTAAAAGGAAGACAGGGAGAATGGAAAGAAGGAAGAGAAGATGACTGCAAAACAAACAGAAAACAAATCACAAAATGTCAGGAATAAGTCCTTATTTGTGAATAATAATATTGACTATGAATTGATTAAACCAATCAAAAGACACAGAGTAACTGAATGGATTATAAAACAAAACAAAAAAAATAAGACCCAATGATCTGTTGCCTACAAGAAACACATTTCACCTATAAAGGAACACATAGACTGAAAATAAAGGAACAGATAAAGATATTCCATGCAAATGGAAACCAAAAAAGAGCAGGAATAACTGTACAAAATAGATTTTTCAATACAAAAACTATATAAAGAGAGAGAGAAAGAAGGTCATTATAAAATGATAAACGGGTCAATTCAGCAAGAGGGCATAACAATTGTAAATATATATTCATCCAACACTGGAGCACCCAAATATAATATATAAATCAAATATTAGAGCTAAAGAGAGAGATAGACCTCAATACAGTTAAAGCTGGAAACTGCAACACCCTACTTTCAATATTGCACAGATCATCCAGATGGAAAACCAACAAAGAAACATCAGACTTAATCTAAACTATGGACCAAATGGACCTGATAGATATCTACAGAAAATTTCACTCAGCAGTTACAGAATGCACATTCTTCTCTTCAGCACATAGATCATTCTCAAGGATAGACCATGTGTTATGCCACAAAATAAGTCTTAAAAAATTAAAAAATTGAAATTATATCAAGTATCTTCTCTGACTATAATGGAATAGCCTAGAAATAAATAACAAGAGGAATCTTGGAAACTGTACAAACACATGGAAATTAAACAATATGCTCCTGAACAACCAGTGGGTCAATGAAGAAATTAAAAAGTAAATTTAAAAATTTATTGAAACAAATGATAATGGAAACACAACATACCAAAACCTATGGGATATGGCAAAAGCAGTACTAAGAGGAAATTATAGCTTTAAGTGCCTACATCTGAAAAGTAGAAAAACTTCAAACAAACAACCTAAACATTCATCTTAATAAACTGGAGAAGCTATAGCAAACTAAACCCAAAAGTAGTAGAAGAAAAGAAATAATAAAGATCGGAGCAGAAATAAAGGATATTGAAATGAAGAAAACAATAAAAAAGATCAATGAAACAAAAGTTGGTTTCATTTTCAAGTTTTTTGAAAAAGGAGACATTACACCTGATACTATAGAAATTCAAAGGATCATTGGAGTCTACTGTGAGCAACTATATTCTAATAAATTGGAAAATGGAGAAGAAATGGATAAATTTCTAGACACATACATCCTACCAAGATTGAAACATGAAGAAATCCAAGACTCGAACAGACCATTAACAAGTAAGGGGATCACAGAAGTAATAAAAAGTCTCCCAGCAAAGAAAAGCCAGGACCCAATGGCTTCACAGCTGATTTCTACCAAACATTTAAAGAAGAACTAATACCAATCCTCTCAAACTATTTCAAAAAAATGAAGGAGCAGGGAATACTTCAAAACTCATTCTATCAGGTGAGTATTACCCTTATACCCAAACCAGAAGGACATACGGAAGAAATCAAACTACAGGTCAGTATCCCTGATATTGAACATTGGCACAAAAATCATCAACAAACTAGTAGCAAACTGAATTTAACAACACATTAAAAAGATAATTCATCATTGCCCAGTGGGATTTATCCCAGGCATTCAAGGATAGTTCAACATACACAAATCAGTGTGATACATCCTATTGAGAGAATGAAAATCAACAACATATGACGATGAAAACCCATTTGATAAAATTCAACATCCTTTCATGATAGAAAGACTAAAACAAACTGAGTATAGAGGAAATATACCTCACCACACTAAAAGTAATATACAACAAACCCACAACTGGTATCATACTAAATGGGACAAATCTGAAAGCTTTTTCTCTAAGATATAGAAAACAACAAGGATGCCCACTTTCATCACTGTTAGTCAACATAGTACTAGAAGTCCTAGCTAGAGCAATCAGACAAGAGAAAAAAAATAAAGGGCATCTAAACTGGAAAGAAAGAAGTCAAATTATCCTTGTTTGCAGATGAGATGATCATATAGTTGGAAAAACCTAGACTTCATCAAAAAACTATTGGAACTAATAAACAAATTCAGTAAAGTTGCAGGATACAGGGTCAACATACAAAAATCGGTAGCATTTCTATATGCCAACAGCAAACAATCTGAAAAAGAAGTCAAGTAAATAATCCCATTTACAGTGGCTACAAATAAAATAAAATCCCTAGGCATTAATTAAAGAAGTGAAATATCTCTAAAATGAAAACTGTAAAACATTGACAGAAGAAATTGAAGAGGACACACAAAAATGGAAAGATATTCCATGTTCGTGGGCTGGAAGAACCAACATTGTTAAAATGTCCATACTACCCAAAGCAATCTAGATTCAATGCAATCCTTATCAAAATATCAATGACATTCTTCACAGAAATAGAAAAAAAATGCTAAAATTTACATGGAACCACAACACACCCAGAATAGCCAAAACTCTCTTGAGCAAAAAGAACAAAACTGAAGGAATCACATTACCTGATTTCAAATTATACTATAGAGCTATAGTAACCAAAACAGCATGGTACTGACATAAAAACAGACACACAGACTCATGGAACAGAATAACAAACCCAGAAACAAATTCATACACCTACAGTGAATTCATTTTTGCCAAGGGTGCCAGACATATACACTGGAAAAAGGACAGTCTCTTAAATAAATGATGCTGAGAAAACTGGGTATCCGTAGGCAGAAGAAGGAAACTAGACCCCTATCTCTCACCATATACAGAAATTGAATAAAAAATGGAGTAAAGAATTGAATCTAAGACCTCAAACCATGGAACCACTAAAAATAAAGATTGGGGAAACTCTGCAGGACATTGGGCTGGGCAAAGATTTCTTGAATAATACCTTACAAGCACAGGCAACCAAAGCAAAAATGGACAAATGGGTTCACATCAGGTTGAAAAGCTTCTGCACAGCAAAGGAAACAATCAGCAAAGTGAAGAGACAACCTACAGAATGATAGAAAACATTTGCACACTACCCATCTGACAAGAGATTAGTAACTAGAAGAGATAGGGAGCTCAAACTGTACAGGAAAAAATCTAATAATCTAATTAAATAATCAGCAAAAGATTTGAAAAGACATTTTTCAAAAGAAGACACACAAACGGCAAGCAGGTATATGCAAAGGTGCTCAACATCATTGATCATTATAGAAATGCAAATCAAAATTACAATGAAATTTAATGACCAGTAAAGCCAGTTAAAATGACTTTTATTCAAAAGACAGGCAGTAACAAATGCTGGAAAGGATGTGGAGATAAGAGAACACTCATACACTGTTGGGGGGAATGTAAATTAGTACAACCACTATGGAGAATGGTTTGGAGGTTCCCCAAAAAACTAAAAATAGAACTACCATGCAATCAAGCAATCCCACTGCTAAGTATACCCAAAAGAAAGGAAATCAGTATATTGAAGAGATATTTGCACTCCCATGTTCATTGTAGCACTAGTCACAATTGCCAAGATTTGAAAGCAACCTGTGTCCATCCACAGATGAACGGATAAAGAAAATGTGGTAGATATGCACAATGTGGTAGATATACACAATGGAGTACTATTCAGTCATTAAAAGTATTTTTTAATGACTGTATAGTACTCCATTGTGTATATCTACCACATTTTCAAAGTACCCATTTGTAAACTACCTGCAAGCAGGTATATGAAAAGGTGCTCAACACCATTGATCATTACAGAAATCCAATGAAAACTACAATCTATAAAAAAGATTTTTTATGACTGAATGGTATTTAGTTATAAAAAAAGACTGTTTCTGTCATTTGCAAAAACACAGGTGGAACTGGAGGACATTATATTAAGTGTAACAAGCCAGGTACAGAAAGACAAACTTCACAGGTTCACACATATTTGTGGGAGCTAAAAAGTAAAACAATCGAACTCATGGAGAAAGAGAATAGAATGATGGTTACCAGAAGCTGGGAAGGGTAGTGAGAGGGAGGGCGGGAGGGGGTAGAGTTAATGGGTATAAAAACATAGTTAGATAAAATGTATAAGATCTAGTATTTGATAGCAGAACAGGGAGACCACAGTCAACAAAAATTTATTATACATTTCAACATAACCAAAAGAGTATAATTGGATTGCTTGTAACACAAATAGAGGATGAATGCTCGAGGTAAGGAATACTCCATTTACCTTGATGTAATTATTTTGCATTGTTTTCCTGAATCAATACATCTCACGTACCCCATAACTGTATACACCTACTCTGAACCCACAAAAATTACAAATTTTTAAAATGCAGACAAAAATAAAAAGAATGAGAGAGAAAGGGTGTGTGTGTGTGTGTGTGGGTGTGTGTGGGTGGGTGGCTGTATCTCCCTCATACACACACACCCACACACACACACACACATTACAAGAAATATAAGGTAAAACCTAGAAGCTGATGCACACAAACATTGATGGTCATTACTTCTGGGGAAAAGGACTGGAGGGCTTTATGGGGGATTTTAACCTTTATTTGAAACAGATTTTTCAAATCCTAGATTATCAGTGATTCCTATTTTTTCTGCTTTTTGAGCTTTTATTCAAATCAAGAGATAGAGAAATAAAATATTCCCACATGCAACCTATTACTTCAGCTTAGAATAACCACAAGTCTCTTCATTAAATTCAACCCTCCCAAATCAGTGATACTGACTCTATAAAAAAAATCACTTGATGTCTCCATTAAAACCTGTGTTTATAGACCATGGTACTTGTAAGTATAATGTGTAACATTTCTTTAATTCTTCCTGCCTTTATCTCATTTTTCTCTATTTTCCAATGCCCTAACGTCCTCATGTCTGTGACCTCTGACTTTAAACTAACATAGTTTAGTAGCTTTCTCAAATTTGGCTTAGAAATCAATATTGGTTGATCACTTTCTATTTGCTGAGACTGTCTTAGCTACTATAGTGGAAGCCACACTTTATATTTCAATGAAATCTTTTTACTTATAAAAAGAAATCATGAAATAGAAGATAGTAAATTTAAGATAATCTGACTTTATGATAGAAATTGGTCTATTAGTCTAGTTATGTAAATATCATGTTTATAACTAATTTGTAACTCATTAGTACTTGACATTCACTTTAACGTGCTTAATTTTAGGATATCAGAAACGTTTGCTAATATGTGGAGGGTCTTACATAGGGAATTAAGAAAAAGTTCCGGCTGGGCGCGATGGTTCACGCCTGTAATTCCAGCACTTTGGGAGGCCGAAGTGGGCAGATCATGAAGTCAAGAGATCAAAACCATCCTGGCCAAACATGGTGAAACCCCATCTCTACTAAAAATACAAAAATTAGCTGGGCATGGTGGCACATGCCTGTAGTCTCAGCTACTCAGGAGGCTGAGGCAGGAGAATCACTTGAACCCTTGAGGGGGAGGTTGTAGTGAGCTGAGATCGTGCCACTACATTCCAGCCTGGTAACAGAGCAAGACTCCGTCTCAAAAAAAAAAAAGTTCTACCATTTCCTTACTCCCTATTAATGATTAGAGCTACATACCCTGTACTAGTATTGTGAACCTCAGGAATTTGAAGAACAAAAAAAGATTACCCATAGGAATATTGTAAAAATTCAATAATTATTGACAGACAAATAGGACAACTTAAACATAGGGTTAAGCCTTACTAGCTAACTAATAAGAATGATTTATAATATAGAATAATCTAATAAAGATTGAAAATTCATTATTACAATGTATTTGCATGACACATGCTCTCTTCTCTGGAAAAATCTCTGTGATGGTCAATTATATGGGTCAACTTGGCCAGGCTAGAGTTCCCCATTATTCAATCAAACATCAACTTAGGTGTTTCTGTGAAGGTATTTTGTAGCTGTGATTGAGACCACAATTAGTGACCTTAAGTGAGGGAGCTTATTCTAGATAATCTGGATGTGTCTGATTCAATCAGTTGAAAGGCCTTAAAATCAGAGCTGAAGCTTCTCAGAGCAACATCTAGATTATTGTTTGATTGAATAACTGGGGACTAGAGCCTGGCCAGGCAGACACTGTCAGATTCTCCTCCCCGCAATGTCATCCCCACCATTTCTCATAACTCTTACACATTTCTCAGATATTAGTTTAAATGCCCCTTCACCTGAAGGCCTCCCCACTCCTGGACATTAGCCCTTGCTAACCTCTCCCTTTGCTCCTTGCTGTTTTCCTGGTTCACTTTTCTTCCCCATGAGATGGCATGTTCAGAGGGTGAAGGGCAGTGCCTATCTTACTCACTGCTGCATAACCAATGTCTACTTCAGGGTCAGGCAGTAAACCTGACTTTAGGGTTAGGCTTTTTTTTTTTTTAATTTGCATTGTGGTTCTTAAAGAGGTTCTGTAAGATAAGACAGAAGTTTATAGGAATTACTCTATTAATCAAAATCATGAAACTTTGGAAGAAATCCTTGTACAAAATAAAACAGAAATGTGCATATTTAAAAACTGTCCCTTTAGTGTTTGTAAGTACAGATCCAGTTCCCACATTTAAAAAATTCTATGTGGCCAGGTGCAGTGGCTCATGCCTGTAATCCTGGGGCTTTGGGAGGCAGAGGAGGAAGGATTGCTTGAGCCCAGGGGTTTGAGACTACAGTGAGCTATGACCATGCCACTGAACTCCTACTGGGTTGACAGAGTGAGATTGTGTCTTTAAAAAAAATTAAAAATTAAAAAAAATATGTATCTTCTATGCAAGTGCTAATGCCATCCACCATGAGATGTGTAGAGCCTTGGACTAAATACATTCCTTCACTGAATAATTCAAGTTGACTCTAATACGTGTTGTGAATGAGAAATAAGATGACACCTCTGAATACAGTGCCCCTTCAACCTCTCGGCCTCATCTGACATTTGACCCCACTGCACCAACTCTCTCCTTTTGCAAACTTCCTCCTCTTTGGGGGACTGTTCATTAGCACTCTATTGCTTCCTGTCCTATGTCTTCGACCTTTCCCTTTCTTCCTTGCTGCCTGGATACAGTCAGATACTTACCAAGCTTTCTCCTTTAGTCTCTCCCCAAGGCATCTCATCCCAACTGTGGCTTCAGTTAGCAGATCATGTCACATACACAACCTTCCACTCCACTCTGCTGTTTCTTAAAACCCTTCAATGCCTTTGCACTGACCAAGTATGAAATCAGACTCCTTACTAAGGCCGAAAAGAACTCCCCTGATCTGATTGCTGCCAGCCTCTATGTCTCATTTTCAAGGCCATGCTCCAGACAGACAGACTGGTGTTTGTATCTTTGAACACACCAAACTCATTTCCACCCTAGGGTATTCACACTTGCCCTTCACTTCTCTAGGAAGGATATTTCCTCTTCTCACTGCCGTTTAGGTTTCAGCTCAGGATGTACCCTGGACAAAGGGATTCTTGACCATTGTATCTCAAGTCTATTTCTCCCTCCAAGAACGTTTCCTTCTATCTGATTATTTCTTACTACCTATCATTTTCTCAAATTTGCTTGTTTACTAAGTTAGTTGTTTATTTCCTTTCCCTTCCAATAAAACTCCAAGCTTTATGGGATCAGAAACTTTGTCCATTTTGTTCAACACTTGACATCAGATGAACTTATCTTCCTTCTAAAACTACCTTCCCCTGTTGACACAGCTCCCCAATCCAGACTACAAGATCGTTCAAAAGCTTGGAATTCCTTCTCCCTGTCAGGCCTAATCCATTGACAATTACAGTGCATACCAGCTCTTCATTATTTCACTCACCCTCAACTCCTATTCTCCTTTTCATCACCAGGACTCAAGTTGAGGTCCTTATCATTTTTATTTGAATTGTTACAAGAGCCTCAATACTGATTTGCCTTGCTCTAGATTTTCTTCTCTCAACTCCATTTATGCCACATCATTACATTAGCATTCCCAAATGAATGTGGAATTATAACAGCTTCTGCTGGAAACTTTCAGCATTCCACACAACATGGCCCAAAGCTTATTTAATTTCCATTTCACTTAATACCATTCCACCAAAGCCAAATTTGGTGATTCTATTTTCCATCAATATAGCCTTTAAAATTTTTTCCACTTTCACTTATTTATTCTGCACTTAATGCCTTATTCCTTAATGACTTTGAGTTCATTCAAAAATCTATTAATGATCTTCCCAGATAAAACCATTACTTGCTCTTCAACTGTAAAAATGCTTTAATGCAATTTGGGGGTCTCAATTGTTTTTACTGCAGTCAGCTCTACCACACACCTAAGCGGGTTCTAAAACTTTTCATTTTAAGTGAACACATCTAAAAGTGATGACTTGTTTCAAGAACTATGAAGAAAATTAATGTCATCCCCATGGATAGATTATATATTATAAATTAAATTACCTGAATATAATCTAACCATATCTATCTATATCAAAAATATGCATGCATTATATATTTCATAATATTATAAAAATTAAGTATATGCAAAATTAAAGAACCTCAAGTACCTATAACCCATCTTCAAGAAATTTTCAACACTGTGCCAATTTTGTTCCAAAGAAAAAACTGTTTTATAAATATTTAGAAGTCACAAGCATGGAAAATTATATCAGAGTGTTAGGCTAAGATAGTGAAGGAGACTAACATCACCAAACTGAAAACAAGAATTAAATTTATAATATTGCAAACTATGAAAAGAAAATAGAAATATATTGAAAATAAGAATATTTGGTTTATTTAAAAAAAGAAAACTTAGTTGATGTGGTACAATGTTTATCATTAAAATTATTGTGACACTAAAAATAGTTATAACCAACGATAAGACCATATGGTTTAAAGTATATTTTAACTAAATAACCATTTAAAAACTCTAATTTAAGATTTTCTTTAAAAATTAAAAAACTATTTTAGTGACTATAGAATGTAGAAGTTATTACTTCAATTCAGTGAAATGATTTGTTAATAATACACATGAAAAGTACAGAAGTCCATAAGTCCTAATGAAGTTCATGAGCACAGAAAACCTTCAAAATCAAAGGATTGCCCCAAGCTAGAAATCTAAGAATTATCTTTGACTCTTTCCTCTCCCTCATTTCCAACATAAAAACAACGAAGTTCTACTCATTGTATGACCTACATACTTTTTGAATCTGTTTCTTTCTGTTTCGGATTCCACTATTATCATCATTTTTTGCCTAAACATTTTCAAATCTTCATAACTGTTGTTGTGTGCCTGCTGTCTAAAGGTAAGATCTGACTAAGTCCCCCTGTGGTTTAAATTCCTGTAGCTCCTCGTTTCCTATAAGATGAATCCAAGCTTGCCCACATGGTCTATAGGGCCTCCATAGCTTGCTGACCACTCCAACCTCATCTTTCACCACTCCCTGCCTTGCCCTCCACATTCCAAAAACACAGACCCTGTATCATCCTATGCACACAACACGCAGTTTCTACACCTTCTGTCTTCAATGACTTTTCTATCGTATTTTACCTAACTCTTCCATATATATATATTTTTTTTTTTTTTTTAAGAGACAGGGTCTTGTCCTGTCACCCAGGCTGGAGTGCAGTGGTGCAATAATGGCTCACTGTAACCTCAAATGTCTGGGCTCAAGCCATCCTCCCACCTCAGCCTTATTTGAGTACTTGGAACTACAGGCATGCACCACTATGCCTGGCTAATGTTTACATTTTTTTGTAGAGATGGGGTCATGCTATGCTGCCCAGGGTGGTCTCAAACTCCGGGGATCAAGTGATCCTTCCACCTTGGCTTCCCAAAGTGCTGTCTGGGATTACAGGTGTGAGTCACCATGCCCAGCCAGCATCATTTCTTTTAGGAAGTTTTCTCTGACTCTCTTCACCTGTGCCAGTTTAGAACCATTTTCTATCTCTCTCCCACCCGTATCTTCAACTTGTTAGGGGCTTATATCTATTTCTAACACTACCTTTTATAATTAGCTCTGTAGCTAACTAGCTGGCTGTTATGCATCTTTGCATACTTGGTGCTTATTATGCTCAGGGAGTTGAATTTGTATTTTTTGAATAAATGATTGCAGAGCTGTCTGTATCTAGGAAAGAATATAGATTTTGTTCTCATAGATTAAGAATTGTGTAATTGCTATAAAAATAGGCTTTGAGATTCCACAGACCTAGTTTTAAATATGAGTACTGCTGCTTATTAGGTATGTGACTTCTGACATTTCACCAAATCTCAGTTTTTGTGGCTATAAAATCTGTAGATATGGCAATGTGGCGACAGTGTGTGGGTTACATGAAATAAGGGAATGTAAATGACCTAGCTTAGAGATGACCACAAGATAAGATATCCACATATAAAAATATTCTACTTGCCTTATTTTCTTGTTGAATGTCTATTTTGGTATCAAGCTTCTCTCATTTTCCTAAATACACTTGAGCTCTAGTACTCTTTAATCCCTCCACCAGTAATGTCTTTTCTCTCCTGTGCCTGGTGAACTCCTAGTCTTCTAAGTTCACCTTAAGCTTTATTTCCTCCAGCAAGTCATTCTGGGCCCTTCCAGCATGGGGTTGTTGCCATCTCCCCCTGCTACCAGTGCACAATGGGCATCATTGCACCGTTGTGCCTATCACACAGTAATATATTACATTGTTCTTTTCTGCGCCCCACCCCCCCAGCATGAAACAGAGTTTATCTGAACAAGTTTCTGTGCATTTCATTTATTAATCTGGAGTACCCAGCCATGGTGGAAGTACAGACTCCTAGAGTGCTAAGGGACTCTTGGTACATAGCAAAACCAAAGATAAATAAAAGACGAGGTTTGCTGAATAAATGGATGAATACATAGAGATTCCTAAAACTATGTTTCCCCCAATTTTTAAAAATATAAAAGTCAATACTCTTCATTTTACTACTTTTAATAAACAATACGTTAGTTTTTGTGTTAATGCCTTGTTAAGACTCCTTATTACTGGTTGGGTGCACACTTCTTATTCCAGTAGTTTGGGGGACTGAGGTGGGAAGATCATTTGAGTCCAGGAATTTGAGACCAGCATGGGCAACATAGAGAGACCCTGTATCTACAAAAAATTTAAAAATTAGTTGGGTGTGGTGGCACCCACCTGTAGTTACAGCTACTCAGGAGGCTGAGGTTGGAGGATCATTTGAGCCCAGGAGTTAGAAGCTGCAGTAAGCTGTGATTGCACCACTGCACTTCATTCAGCCTGGGTGACAGAGGAAGACCCTGTAGCAAAAAAAAAAAAAAAAAAACAAAACAAAAAAAAAACAGATTCCTCGTTCTTCCTCATTCTTTCCTATGGTATACAAAATTGTTTTTGTCTTATCTTAGTTCTCTCCCTATTAAAATTTAGGCTATAACTTATAATCAAAATTTCAGAATTTGCTTATTAAAAATCTCCCTATGTAGAAATTCCAGTTACCATATCACTTACCAAAATTTGTTTATTTTCAAGTACTGCTTGGGAGGCATCAGCAAGTGGTGAAAGGAACATTGAACCATGAGTTCGAGGCCTTGGTATTGGTTCCAGCCACATTCATAATGATCTTTTGCCTTTTCTAAGTGTGTTTAAGTGAGCTGATGGATTGATTCATATTCTATAAACAAAAATCCAAGTTGTAAAGACATCATACACACAAATGGCAGTTTCCAGAAAGTGAATATAGTCTAGAAGTCCCTTAGCACTCTAGGAGTCTGTGCTTCCACCATGGCTGTGTATCAGGACTGTGTGAGAGAGAGGCCTGGGTAACAAGGCAAGAGAAAGAGGTCCAGAGAAATGTCTCCTTTCTTTGTGGCCATTCTCACTGGCTAACTGGCAGTTACAAAACTGTAGGGTGGGAAAACATGAGTGAGTATTGCTTGAGGTTATAGAGAAGTAATCTGTTGCATAAGTAAATATCTACAGTGAATTTTAGAGTTGGTAAAACTGTCTCGTTTTATATAAGAGGAAACTGGGCGCAACTGGTCTGAGTGACTTTTCTGAGATTGCACAGGTATTAAGGGGAAGACCTTCCAGGCCAGTATCAAAATTTCATGGCTCTGCTATGTATTTTCTGACTTTGTAAGGTCTGTGACAACATTTCCAACCCATTTCTAATTCATCTGAGGTTTATTTTCTCTTCTTAATTTTGAGCTACCCCTGTGGACTACTGATTTCTTGTTTTCCTTTTTTTTGTTTTTTTTTTTATTTAAAGACATGGTCTTACTCTGTGACATAGAAGGCTGTAGTGCAGTGGCACAATGATAGCTCACTGCAGCCTCCAACTCCTGGACTCAAGTGATTCTCCCACCTCAGCCTCCTGAGTAGCTGGGACAACAGGCATGTGCCACTGCACCCAGATAATTTTTTAAATTATATTTTTGTAGAGATGGGATCTTGCTATGCTGCCCAGGCTGGTCTCAAACTCGGCCTCAAGCCACCCTCCTCAGCCTCCCAAAGTGCTGGGATTACAGGCGTGCACCATTGCACCTGGCCTTGCATTTTTTTTATGCTGTTACATGTTCCTTATTAAAAAGCTATTATTAAAAAACTAAAATACTGTCCAGGCCTGTTGTCTCATGCCTGTAATCCCAGCACTTTGGGAGGCTGAGGCCAGAGGATCGCTTGAGCCCAGCAGTTCGAGGTCAGCCTGATCAACATAGCAAGACCTCTGTCTCTACAAAAAATTAAAAAAAGGAAGAAATAGCCAGGTTTGGTGGTGCATGCCTGTGGTCTCAGCTACTGGGAAGCCTGAGGTGAAGGGATCACTTGAGCCCAGGAGGTTGAGGCTGTAGTAAGCATGATCAAGCCACTGTACTCCATCCTGGGTGACAGAGCAGGGCCCTGTCTCAAAACAAAAACAAAAACAAAAATGACAACCACAAAAAACACTAATAGTAACATATGTTAGTAGCTAAAATTTTACAGTAAAGAATGAATGTGTGTGTGTGTGTGAATCACATACAGTGTTCAAAAACAGATAAATGGGATAATGCTATACATGTTCTGTGTCTTGACTACTGCTTTTTAAATAAATACTCTGCCTCACTTGATCCATCCCTTACAAACTTGGTGCTATCATAAACCAATTATGTGCCAACTGCTGACCTACTATGTTTAGTATAAGCTACCATCATACAATATTTACAAAAAAACAAGCAACAAAAAAAACACCACTGCACATTTATGGCTTTGGTAATGTTTACATGGTACCAAAATTTTGGCAGGTGTTTTACAACAAAAACAAAAAAGCATCACAATCCTTATTAATGCAGTTTCTACCTTTAGCTTAAAGTAGATCAATTCTAGATCCATGTGTGTCCTTTTTTAAAATCATAGTTTCCTTGTGGCATGTGATAGAATTCATTTTTTTGTGGCTTTGCAAGAAGAGTGTTAACTCTGTTGAGAGAAAATGTTCATTATAAACCACATTTATTTCATCCTTTTTGATGGAGCAAATGACATTCTTCCAAAATTTATTATTTTGAAGGATAATATACCCAATATACTGAAGAAGATGGTAAGGGTATGAGTCACCTCTAGCAATGAACAGTGCTGGTTAATATTTCACATTTTTACCTCTCCTGCCCTTAGAAATCACAATACTTGACACCAGGTCACAAAATTATTAAAACTTCAAGTGGCTACACTTCCTTCTCCACGTGAGTCCTCACTTCTCCTTAACATTTTACTCTGGCAATCCCTTCAGGCTTCTGGCCTTTTCTCCCTCCCTTTGACCCTCATAACTAATTAAATCTGGACAAGTCTTTGGTGAAAATAGTTTCCTTTAAAGTTATTCATTCAAAGTTCCCCTTAAGGCATTCTTTGTCACTTTAGCCCAGCCTGCAATCTTTACATGAAGTTGAAAGAAGTGAGCTATTTTTATAAGATAAAAAAATCTTGCAAGACCTAAATCTACTTTAGGGCCACAGATAAAGACTAGATTTTGAAATATGACAAATGTTTCCACAGCCATGAAACTGTTATTCTGTAGAAGTCTGCAGATAAATAAAAAGTTCCAAGGACTCTGGCTATGCTTAAAGGCAGTTAAAGTTTTAAGATTTCATGTTGTATTTGGAGGTAGTTATATTTGAGGTCTGTAATTAAATTCTACATCAAAAGTAAAAGATTAACCAACCAGTATAGTTGAAGTCATGCCCAATAAGTTTGTTTTGGAAATCATATTGGATTTAAGAATTAAGTAGCTAGTATCCATTTATCAGAAGACAAAAGTGAAGATTGAATGATATAAGAAATTAAGTCTGGGGCTATGCCATGGCTTAAGTATTTTCACTGTTGAGATAAAATAAAAACTTGCCAAGTTGCCAATTACTTTAGACCTACTTCTACATTGTACAAATAAACAGAAAATAATGTTTTATTTGTTTACAAATTTAAGAATCAGGCATGTAACTTCTTTTGTTGGCCAAAGGTGTTCAGCTCTAGGGCAAAAAAAATTGGATGAGATTTAACGACAAGCTTCAGCATCATTTGTTAAACTAGAGAAGTGTTTTCTCAGTTTAATAATTGCTACCTATACTGTTTCTAAAAAAAAAAAAGGTGAGAGAAGTTTTCTTTATGAAGCCATTTTTCTACATTATTTAATAATATTACCTTCTCATTTTTCAGCTACCCTCTGGGACGCAACTTTTTAAAGCTCCCTGTGTTTTTCCTAGATGAAAACTTGGGTTTTGAAACTTTGAGTGTGTCCCAAGACTATCCATCTGTTTAATAGAAGAGCTAGGAAAGGAATCTAGGTACCTCTGGCTTGGTAAGCCTGACTGCTGTAAACATGACACTGCCTCCCAAAATGTGAAAGCTTGGTTTTGAAAATAATTCTCTAACAGTATTATGGTTAGTAACAATATTGAAAAAAATATTTTAAAGAATAACAAATACTTAAGAAGCACTTACAATATGCCAGGTATCCTACTAAGGACTTGGATATTTTCCCTCATTTAATTCTCACAATAGCACCGTGGGTAATATCATTACTGCCATTCTGAAGATTAAAAAACAGGCACAGAGAAGTCCATTAACTTGCCCAATGTTTATAAAGCTAGTAAGTAGCAAACATTCCCTTTTTGCTTGACAAATACTCAATACATAGACTTAGAGAACCATCTGATGAATAATAAACTCTGTGGAGTTTCCCAAGGAGATACCAACATCTATTTATTAGTTATAGGTCTAAACGAGAAATATACAGATGTTACCTTTTCAACAATACGTTTATACATGCTATATATACTGGTCTCTTCAGAGATTACAATGACATGTTCTTATTATTCTTTCATTTGCATTACTTTCTAATTTATTTAACCAATATATTTATAAAAATGTTTTAAAAGTTATCTGTGAATTTAAAATTACTGGTAATCTGTAAGTTAAAGGAAAAAGACTTAGCAAATCATTGTCCACAATATGAAGAGGAGCAGTAAGACACGAATGGCACAGGATATGTATAACCAGTTGGAGAATTGTTAACTGCTCCACAGAGTAAGAGATTAGCACTGTTAAAAGTATTGTGAAATAAATAAACAAACAGAAAATTTGCAAAAAACATACAGGGAAAGGATTCCAAGTTAAGTAGTGCAATACAACTGTAATGTTTAGCCACCTTTCACTGTTCCTTATGAGCCAGAAATCTTAAATTGCATTTTATCCATTGATAGTGTGCTTCTTCAGAATATCTACAATACAAAACAATGATTATGAGCTAATGTAAGCTGAAACAGACGAGAGTGATTTGTGGAAAGATGGAAGCACCAAAGATCTAACTCTGGCCTCTTGTGTTTCAGGAGGTGGATTTCTTTGAACGGTATCCATTTCCTTTCTCCAAGGCCTCTGTTTTATTAAACCTCCAAAAAAGAAATTAGAATTGGCCATCTTTGGAAATATAAAGGAGGCAAATGATTTGTGAAAGAAAGTAATTACAAGGTTTTCTCATGTTAAGGAGGCATTTTAATAGAAACGTACTCATGTCTAGAAAATATAGGTCTGTGAGTATATGCGGTTATTTTTTAGGAAGGCATCCTTTCTGTCTTCCACTTCAGTAAACTCAGAAAGTAAAAACACGTTCTGTGACTGCAGCTAGTTCATTGACATTTCCAGCATATCATTTTCCCAAAGTTTGAGAGAGCAATGGATTGATTTCAGGGTTCACAGTGGGGCAGGATAAGACAGCACGGATCACATGTCTTTCGGAAACAATATAAATTCATAGAGCTATTTCAAGGTTTCATGAAGATGTGATAAAGTACTGGATTTGGTTACACATTTCCTCCTGCAGGGACTATTTTATCCACTCTTCTTAGATAAGTCAGGCTGATTTGTTGTTTTCATACTCTGTTTTTCTTCAAATCTACTTAAATAAGCAGGTTGATTTCAGGGCAGTCCCTTTAACTCTCTCTTCTTCTGCATGCGTTCAACTCAAGTTCTTGTGAAATCATTATCCTTTTCATACCTTCAAGATGAACTGCCACAAAAAGTGAATTAAAAAGCAAACAAAACTAAGTTAAAATAAAATGTGATCACCAAGGATGTGCTGCTCTGTGCAGATGTGGACATGGAATCATGCAGCATTTATGAAAGTGTCTCCTGTGAGTGTGGGCTGCAGATCGAATGTCTGTGACTCTCTAAAACACACAGTCCTTCAGGCCAAAGTGCCACTTCACTCTCACCAAAACTAGAACCACATCCAAATCAAAGCAAACAAAACAAACATTTCAGTAGTCAAGAGTGCAGAGAAATAAGACAGCCATTTGCATTGGATTGTTTTTTGTTGAAATCACTGCCAGTAATTCCGAAAAAGCTTCTACCTACTTGTATGATCTGTCAAAAAAATCAAACTGCCTTTTTTCACAGATTAGGAAATCAAGCTGAATCATACTGAACCAAAGGCTCAAAAAATAGTCTTATGATTCTAATGATCAATCAACCCATTCACTCCTTCTTGTTCTTCAGTGTTCTCAGAGCACCATGCTACGTGACGTATATATATAAAAAACAGATTATCTATTATCTATTATATATATATATATCTTACTTCTAATCACTTACAAACTGAAACAGCCCAACAATTAATGAAAGATAAGGTAAAAAACACACTGGACTCAGTGTCAGAAGACTTACATTGTCAAGTCACATGTCTTCTCTGAGCCCTAGTTTCAACACCTGTTAAATGAGGAATGATGTCAGGAAAACATCTTGTTTTTCCTTTTTCTATCATCTATTTCTTCTTGTTTTGAAAAAGAAACCTCTTCCACCCTCTTAGGCCACGTGGTTCGGTTTCCCACTCGCTTCCCCTCCTGCCCATCGGAGCGTTCCAATCCTCTGACCACAATTATTGGTTCAGGATGAGCACATGACCCAAGGCAGTGTAATTACAATGAAATCTGGGATTTTGCTGTGATGGGGAGAAAATGATTGCTGAAAGACTGGCTGTTAGTATGACGCTGTTCATGGCCATCTTGATGTGGGATGGAAACAGCGAGGTTGCATGGAGCAACACAAAGAAAGGCACAGCTGAGAGATGGAGCAAGAATGTGGTCAGGTCATCATTTAGAGCAATGGATTTGACTGTGATGGAGCCAGATGGGTCTAATTCTGGGATTTTCTGTTACATGAACCAATAAATGTGTTTTTTATCTTTTTGACTTAAACCTGCTTGATTTGGGCTTCTTTCACTTGCACCCGCAGGATTCCTCACTGTTATATCATGTGACAACTGAGCTGACATACCAATATGAATGGTATTTTTGGAAAGTTCTTACTTGTTAAAACACAAAAGCTAAAATCCTTGGCTTTGAAAAATATATTTGCACTTTTATTTCATTCATTGAATAACTTTAAATGAAAACCCCTTCTCTATGCCATAGGCACTCTAGGGCCTGGGAATATGAAGATCAAGAAAATGAAACAAGTTATAAAGGAGTTTATAGGCAAGTGGAAATACAAATGTGTTAAATAATAATAGGATACCATGGAAAAGGTAAAAAGTGTAGACTACAAAATGCAGGGATATCATATTACACAGCTCTAGGGGGCGCCGTTCATATTGTAGTTTATGTAAACATCACCCCCTGGAGTTACACACACTCAGAAACCCTAGCTACACCTCTGCCAGCTGGTGGACTGGGCCATGGACACACTTGCACCAGCAAGTGTTTTCAATCACCATAACGGTTCTTCTTGGCTGTTTCATTTTTTAATGAGCTGATTATTGCTCACTATATCTGAGTTTTTAGGGGGAGTCTCTGGCAGACAGCTGCACCACCGGCTTACCATTACACAAACCAGACACAAATCTCACTGATCTCACTTGGCTGTGCTATCATTTGTTAGTGATCATTTGGCAGAGGCACCACTAAATCAAGAGTCTGCAAACAAAATGTCGCATCCCAGGATTACAGAGGTCTTCGGGCAGTGGGAGATTCATTGAACATCAGATTAAGTTTTTGGCAAAACAAGTGGAGATTTTATGACTCAGAGATCGTTTACAACAGCATACTTTCACATTGTTGCCTCAGTGATAATACTTCATTTTAAGTGGCAAAATCAAACTATAAGTAAATTAGTAGCCAAATTAAAGCAACAGCTGTGTGTTTTGATAGTGATTAATTGCACTCTATAAAAGAGGCTTTGCTTGTCTCTTGTCAGTCACAAAAGAGAGTGAAAGAATGTTCTTTGATATAATGCCCCTTCTGAAACAGTGCCAAGTTAGTTCATTGTTTAGCTACAAAACAAAAAAGAAACAAAAACAAAAAACCTCTGAGAGTTTCATGCAGATGCCGCTTTTCACTGGTGAAATAACAGCTACAGTACCCCTTGACACCTTGGAGAGCCACCCTGAGGCCTCACTCCAGGAGTCAAATTTAGACCTAATCACCTCTTTCCTTGCACAGCAAGGTAGCATCAGCCCTAGGCTTGGGGCAATTGGCCTACCATACGTAGATGCTGAATCTCACACTTCTGGGGGAAGCAATTGAAAACCTCATTTGAACTATACTGGGCAAAGTGTTTGGATAAAGTGTGGGGGTGACATATTGATATACTTTTACATCTGTGTTTACCAACATATTAAGATGTGCCACTTGACTGCATGTTCAAAATGACCCATCTCAATGACTCCTGGTCCCACTTTCTGCTGCCACTCTCAACCATGCCGTGAAACTTTCTGGAGCACTTCCTGGACTGCATTTCAAAAATACCAAAGGTCTGAAGGCTGACAGGTTTGACTGTAGCTGAGCTGGCAAAATACAACACTGCTTTCCTGGCACAGAACATGTGACTCCACCAACAACTGCACAAGCTACATCATTGTGTCTGGAGATACTGAAAAGGAAACCTCTTTTTGATACACCAAAATGCTGCTAAAATGTTGATGTTAGGAGGTGTGGATGCTTTCAAGAACTATATCCCATTATTGATATGGGGACAATTTGACACAGCATTCAATATTTGGTGGAGGTAGTTTCAAGTAAATCTGTAAAGCATTTCACTTTATCTTCAAAATGACTGATATTTTATCCTATTGACACTATGATTGCTTTTGCAGCTTTGATTTAGCTGCTAAGTCTTAGAACCAAATGTGTGGCACCCTGTAAAATGTATATGTAATTTTACCTGCTGGTTTTACGGAGAAGGCAGGGGAGCTCAGTGACCCAGAGCCCAGGCTCAAAGGCCGGGTGACAGATTTCAAATGAGTGCCTTTTTAACTCTGTGACTTGGAATATGTACCTTAATTTCTTTTTCATCCTAAGATATTTCTAAGGTTATTGTGAGGATTACATGAGTAAGTACATCAAAAGTGTCTACAGCAGTGCTTAGTATTGATGCCACACTGAACAACCACTTCATCGTCATCAAATCATTATCATCATTGCCTTATTTTTCTGCCCTACTAACTTTCTCAAGGATTTATCTTATTCATTGCAGTTTATGTATTTTTGTAAGCACTGTCAAATTCTTTATCAAGAAAGGACACCATAAGCAAAACAAAACAATGTAACTAATATAGATATATTTATATTTAAGTATATATTTATTTACATGTAAAAAATAAATATTTAGGTCGGGTGCAGTGGCTCACACCTGTAATCCCAGCACTTTGGGAGTCCGAGAAAGGCGGATCACCTGAGGTCAAGAGTTCGAGACTACCCTGGCCAACATGGTGAAACCCTGTCTCTACTAAAAATACAAGAAATTAACTGGGCATGGTGGCATGTCCATGTAGTCCCAGCTACTCAGGAGGCTGAGGCAAGAGAATCTCTTGAACCTGGGAGGTGGAGGTTGCAGTGAGCTGAGATTGTGCCACTGCACTCCAGCCTGGGCAACAGAACAAGAATCTGTCTCAAAAAAAAAAAAAAAAGAAAAGAAATAAAGAAAATACAATACAACATAATACAATAAAAAATTATATAACATTTAAAAATATATAATACAAAAATTTAATATAATATATATTTTATTTTCTATATTTTTCATATAAATAATGTAAAAATATAACAATATATAATGTAAAAGATAAATATATATTTTCAAAATTAAAATATATCACTAAAAGTACTACTCCATTTTGCTATTACAATAATACCCTTACTGAAAATTTTATAATTCTGTTTAAATATTATATTTCATAATGTTATTTCTAATGGCTCAAACCTATTTTAAAATATTCTTTTCAATGCTCAAATGTGTCAAAGTGCCAATTGATCTTTATCTTTTCAAATGCAGATCAATTTCTAACATACATAGAGTTAAAATGAGACATGTTCTAAATATCAATGCACATGAAAAATCACTGAGAATAAACAACATTAAAGTAAGTACAATAGCAAGACCCAGTTGTCTGGGATGACTGATGATTTCTAGAGATCTGAGCTCAGGCACTCATCTACCAGGTGTTATTTTCCTTTTTATCTAGGGTTTAGCTGCTATGTAAAAAGTGATGTGATTTTTTCCCCCAGGATTTCTCTGCTCTAAAGAATTTTCTGAGAAGTTTTTTTTTTTTAAATCAAAATTATAAGCTGTAATATGCTATGTTTTCTTCCATTTGAAGAGAAATTAAATTTGGTTCAGTGGAATATCCTACAGCAAAGTACTGCCAACCCACTATCTGGTCCTGTCACAAAGGGCCTGGAGTTACCTACTTTTCAAAAGAGAAAGGTACAATTTTATGATGTTTTAGGAAGTGAAGTCGAGGTAAGCATTATTTTGTATTAATAAAATACATGTGATGGGCTGAGTGCACTGGTGTGCACCTGTAGTCCCAGCTACTCAGGAGTCTGAGGTGGGAGAATCACTTTAGCCCAGCAGTTCAAGACAAGCCTGGGCAATGTAGTGAGACCTCCATCTCAAAAATAAAATAAAGTAAATAAAATAAAATATGTGATCCTGAAAACACTGATCAACTTACAAATTATATTTCATCCAAGATTTACTGTAAGAGATGAGTCACTGTATTCTTTTATCCTAAACTTCTTGAGGAACTCTAACTGCCTGGAGCATCCAACAATAATGAAGGCAACACAATTAAAATCCCAATCTCTTTCCTGGATGGCTCTATGTTTTGAGAAATTGCTTCACATTCCAAAATCTTCTATTTGAATAAAACAATCAAATACTAACCTAGTCATGAAGTTGATTGTAAAATGTAACAAGAAGCAATTATTGGTAGGACCTTTGTCAACATAAAATTGCTAGTTGCAAACCTAAGTGCAAAATGATTTTCAAAGGCTATAGCTCCAGATGACAACCCTAAGAGGTCTTCTGATTAAGTCCAGTCAAACCTAACTTTGGTTTTGTTTCTTTTTTAATTGTTAAGCGAATTTTTGTCACATTAAAACAGCAGAGCTAAACATTGAGGCTGTTATTTCAAAAGAAAAATAACTTTTCTTTGTGAGGCAATTTATACCAAAACTTTTCTGTTTTTGCCCAAGTATAATTTGCAATGCCATCAGGCTTGCTGGCAGCAGAGGGATATTGTAAGCCATCACAGGAATTTAGGAAGTTACATTTATAATAATGTCTTGCATTTGACTAGTCATTTGAAGTTCAGCAAAACCCTTCACAAACCTGTATCATTTCATCTTCACTAAGACCCTGTCAATTAGGTAGGGCAGAGTTTATTAATCCCCATTTAACATATTATATAAAGGCTCAAAAAACTTAACATATCCCCAAATCATACCACTGCTCACTGGTACGTCAGACCTAGAATTTGAGTCTTCTTACTTCTCCCATTCTTTTTTTTTTTTTTTTCAAAGAAAAATCCAGGAGTGCAGTGGCAAATCATGGCTCACTGCAGCCTCCACTTTCTGGGCTCAAGTGATTCTCCCACCTTAGCCTCACAAGTAGTTGGGATTATGGGCGTACACCACCATGCCCAGCTAATTTTTTTGTATTTTATGTTTTTCCTTAGAGACTGGGTTTCGCCATGTTGCCCAGGCTGGTTTCAAACTCCTGGTCTCAAGTGATCCTCCCACCTTGGCCTCCCAAAGTGCTGGGATTACAGGCGTGAGCCACCGTACTGGCCTTTTCCTGTCCTTCTTAACACTATGCTTTGTTGCCACTTTATTTGAATGTAGATGTTAAATATTTTAAATATTCTATATATTAAATATTTTATACTTACCCTCTAAAAATGTGATCACCTCTTCTCTAAAATCTTATTGGTAACTCCTAGACAACTGGACTATAAGAATATTAATTATGTTACCTTGATGATAATCAAACTTTGAACATACTATTTATCCTAATAATATTAACTTATCTTTCTTTACTCTGATGTTTAAACTTTTCACATAGGCTAATTTCAGTGACTCTGTAAATTTTAGTTGTTTCAAGGAGATCAATTATATTACCTACCATACTTAGCCCATTGTAGGTGCTTAAGAAATTCTTTTTGAATTGATCAGCTTCTATCTAAGAACATTATAGATCATGTTAGCAATGAAATACAAATAAGACATGTGGAAAATTATTTTACATTATCTTCCCTAGAAATGGCTGACAAATTCATTCTGATGAAAGACAGATATGGTGCAGTGAATAGATGCTTTCACAGATGCATTAGAGGTCATGAAAGTAACCCAGACACAGTCTAAATCAGTCTCTGGTGTGCTGACAGCCTGTTAGCATAGCGTATGAATACCCCTTTCATGATTTAAAAACATTTTGACGTCTAAAATAACACTGTCTAGCTATCTGTGATGTATGAAATTATATCATAAATGAGTAGTTCAATTCAATACTGAGATATTTAGAAAAGCAAATTCAATAAGCTAATAAGTCTATGTGCTTTTCCTGTCTATAGAAACTAAGTAAAATAACATGTTTTTATAACATCTTTTTTGAAAAAAAAAAAAACCAATCAATTTCAAAATGCTTTACAAATTATAGGCTTACTACTACATTTCACATCCCATTATGGCATTGGTAAGAATTATCAATTCATTTAAAAATGTAAATAAATGAAAAAAGAAAAACAAATAATTCTAGAAACAAAAAAAGGCAAAATTATTTCAAAGAGCAATAAATTGAAAGGTAGGCTGTCTCTGATGACAGCTAATGTATATTTATGATGCACTTCATTAAACCCTGTGACTTTTTCAAGAGGCCACCTGTAAGCCAGTTATGACTTACAGGTTTTAGGAATGCATTATATTCTTGGCCATTACTCTCCAAATCAAGTGTTTGAGATGTTCTCAAAGTCCAGGTGAGACCTAAACCAGCACTGTCCATTGCAAATATAATGCAAATCGCATATGTAATTTAAAATTTTCAAGTCATCACTTTAAAAAAGTAAAAAGTAACAAGGGAATTTTAATGATATATTTTATTTAACCCAAAATGTCCAAAATATTGTTATTGCAAAATATATTCAACATTAAATTTTATTGAGGATATATTTTACATTTTTTTCCTTGTACCAAGTTTATAAAATCCTGTGTGTGTGTGTATGTGTGTGTGTGTGTCTGTGTGTCTGTGTTTTGAGACAAAGTCTTGCTCTGCCACCCAGGCTGGAGTGCAGTGGCACAATTACAGCTCACTGCATCCTCGACATCCACTATATCTAGCTAAATTTTGAATTTGTTTGTAGAGATGGAGTCTCACTATGTTGATCAAACTGGTCCTTAACTCCTGGCCTCAAGGGATCCTCCCACCTCGGCCTCCCAAAGTGCTGGGATTACAGGCATGAGCCACTGCGACCAGCCCAGTGTGTATTTTTATGTATACTTTCTGCAATCTCAATTTGGTGCTAAATTTTTACCAGAAATACTTGACTTTAATTCGGTTTTCATAAAATTTATAGTTCAAAAAGTAAGGCCAGGTGTGGTGGCTCACACCTGTAATGCCAGCCCTTTGGGAGGCTGAGGTGGGCAGATCACTTGAGGTCAGGAGTTTGAGACCAGCCTGGGAAACATAATGAAACCCCAACTCTACAAAAAAATATAAAAATTAGCTGGGTGTGGTGGTGCATGCCTGTAGTCCCAGCTACTTGGGAGGCTGAGGTGGGAGGATGGCTTGAGCCCAGGAGGCAGAGATTGCAGTGAGCCGAGATTGCTTGCGCCACTGCACTCCAAGCTGAACGACAAAGTGAGATCGCATCTCCAAAAAAAGGAGATTAACCTATCCAAATATTCCAAGTGTACTAAAAAGTTTCTTAATAACTGCATCCAGTAGCAGTTTTCAATTTAAATTAACAAAAACTTAATAAAATTAAAAATTTCTCAGTCACATTAGCAATACCATTGATACCGTTATCAATGGTCCAATGTAACTGGGGCCGCTATATTGGATAGCACAGATAGAAATAAAATTAAGCAACAAAGAAAGTTTCGACTACAGCGGTAGGTAAAATATGAATAAATAGGAAGGACGGCATTGCAGAGGAAGAAAACGAGTTGAAATGACAAGTATGGATAAAACTGCTTTTTGTAGCCCCCCCTTTTTTTTTTCAAAACTGTTTCCAAAATTATTCTATCATATTGTGTTCCCAGAATAACTTTACCATCTGTTTATTCACTGTCCACAAGAATACACAGGATATAGTTTTAGAGGTAGAAAAAAACTAATGAGCATACATTTCAAATTCTTTTAAAGAATGAGAAAGGCTTGGTCTAGAGCTGCGCTCTCCAACACATTAGCCAGTAGCCATATGTGGCTATTGAGCCTTGAAAGATGGCTTATCCAAACTGAGATGTGGCTTAAATGTAAATATGATTAAATTTCAAAGACTCAGGCCATAAAAGAAGGTAATATATCTCATTAATAATATTTTATTATGGAATACATGTTAAATGATATTTTAGATATATTGGGCTATATAATTATATTACTAAGATTAATTTCATTTGTTTTTTTAATGCAGCTACTAGAAAATTTTAAATTTCATATGTGGTCATATTATATTTATATTATATAGCATCATCTAGAGAGAAAGTTTACTTTTGCTTATGTCACAGCATTGCCTGTACATGCGATTTCTGATATTCACCAATATGCTAGCAGGAAAAATGCTAGCAGGAAAAGGCTGCATATTCCTGGCCACAGTTGGGCCTTAGGACCTGGTTTCCTGTCACTGGCTTTTGCAAGCAAAATTGGGTACACTCATGAAAAGTAGAGCCTACATGAAAAGAAAGGTTTATTTGTACTCATTTTCAGCTAATTGTTGTTTTGTTTTGTTAACCTTCTTTTGCTCACTTATATTTGGCAGCTTGATTTGTGTTTTTCATTCTTCTGAAGTTGCAAAAGCAGCAAACTGCACCACCCATTGTGGGTGACTCCATGTAATTACCGCGTACAGGTTTATACTTTATCACAGTAAGACAACAGCATCATAAGAAAAGCACTACATGATTTCCAATGATTATATGAATAAAATAATCACTGGGTTGTACAAAAGAGTATGTCATTCAAAAGAATACGTAGTTCAAAGTGGTCATTCGTTTTTCTAATAAGTAAGCGGTCTGTAGAGGGAAAGCTATAGGTTTAAGCTTGTCTTGACGTTGTTTATCTAGTGATCACAATACATAGCAGGGTCCTGGGGCCATTAGGAAGTTTTTAGGTTTATTTATCTATTCATATTTAGTACATTATTTAAGAAAAGAGTAATGCCAATTACTTAGAAATTAGAAACTTCTAGTTGTTTATTGATAAAGTTACTTTAAACATTGTTTAGTCCAAAAAACATGGATTGAAAGCCTGTCTGTTTTCAGTAACACTTCAGTGAGGCAGCCTTCCCCTAGCTGTGATAGTCTCCTCAGTGTAATGCTGTTTCATAACGTTTCTCCATAGGTTATATCTTGACAGAAAAACGGACATGAAATAAAAAGAAACATAAAAGATGAGAAAAATCCATACTGCTTTTTAAAATGTTGCAAACCCCACTGTACATAAGGCAGACCTGTCACTGTTCTTCAACATTTGCTGAACCTACAGCTATGATAAGAAAGAAATAAAAACACAGTATATTTTGTGGGGGGGGGGGAGTATCAAATGTGATTGAGGTTAGAGTTGGAAAAGATGAAAACTGATAGGAAGATGCAGCATAATCTGATGGTTTAGAGGCAAGTCCTGCATCTACATACATTGCCTGAGTTCACTATTTAGTACCTGTGTGAATTTGGATGAGTTACTTAACCTCTCTGTGTCTTGTTTTTTTCACTTGAGAAACAGGGATAACTGAATCGCCAGCTTCAAAGTATTGTTATGTAAATTAAATAAGTTAACATGTGCAAAGCACTGGAAACACCAGGGCTACGTAAGTGTTTGTTCAATAAATAGTTTTTCACAGCTCAAAACCTCACAGTAGCATAAAGGACACTTGAGAAGCTGGAAATCAAATGGGTATTTAACTCAAATTTTCACCCAATAAAACATCTGTTCTCTTCCAAATCATGACATTAAAATGCAATAACCCTTACTAACTTTGGCAATTTATTTATAAAAACCATGTTCTGCATTTCTTAGTATAGATTTTCAAGCTATGTGTCTTTCTGATTTCTACATTGTAATGCAGCCAGCCCCAGAGCCAGGACAATTGCACTGTTTCCTATCAATTGCCTCTTCAGTGCAATGCCTCCTGAAACCATTTCCTGAAACATGTAACAATCCTATCACATAATTGTGTAAAACCCTAGACACCCATGCCTGTTGTTTAATGCTAATTTCCTTGAGCTTCCTAAGAGGAATTGCTATTGACTACTTTCATTAGGAAACTATTGACCCTTCTCCAGTGGAGCATCCTGAGAAGAAATTCACTAAATATGCCCGTATTTCATCTTTTGAATATCAAGGTGCAGTAGGCATGCTGCAGGATATGGCTTATTTAATCCAAAATTAAAATTTTATAGGCTACATTACCTAAAGTAAATTGCTTAATACATTTAGAAGAACAGCTGCTTTCTAAGTGTTTGGCATCCATGTATTTGAGACCTAAATTAGGCAAACCCACTGACACAAATGCAGACATAATGGTCTCCATGATATTTTGGATGACATCCCCTATCACATACAGAAAAGCGATTTCCAAACGGGAAAGGTTGCTCTGTTAGGTATTATTGATTTCAAAGAGATTTCTTAATTCTTCCTCTTATTGTTATTCCATAAAATTGAGAAATAGTCAAAAACATTTTATGGGATTTAACATCCTGATTTTTAGTTTCTTTGGCCCTGTTTGGGTACTATTACATTTTTATTAAAAATGAGTATTCGTTCCACATTCAAAATTAGATCTAAGGCATATTACAATAGAAATAGATATAAAATATAGCACTTACAGGCAGAACGAATGTGTGGTTGGTGGTTTGTTAACACAGGAGAGATTTTCTTGCTCTGCTTCTATGCAAGGTACTGAGACATCATTCTATAGTGCTCAGAGGATGCACAAATATAACAAAAGAGTTCAGTTTAGATTTCTGAAAAGTTGGGTGTAAGAAGTAGCACCAGGCCCTAGGTCCTGATCAGGAAGAATCCTCAAGCAGCTACACCATCACAGGAGAGTAAAAACAATACAAGGTTGTAGCAGATTCTGCCAGCACTCCTTGAAGCTAGGATTAAGTTCTGATTTCCTAAAGACCAAATATACCTCAGATTCAACTCCTACAACGTCTTCTGCTACCAACAGAGTCAAAACCACCATCATCTCACTATCTCTTGTCTTGTACTATAGTAATGGCCTCCTTGCAGGTTTCCTTGTTTTGACCCCTAAACGCAACTATCCCGCAACAGCCAGAGTGATCTTTTAAAAACATAAGTAAACACATGCCACAACACTACTTAACTGTTCCCCGGCTTTCCATGGTTTCATTTTACCATGGCCTAGAATGCCCTACATCTATATGAGCTGACCCTCTTCTTATTCTATTTCCTAACATTTTCTCCCTCCCATAATCTGTGCCAGTCACTCAGACTTTCTTGGTGTTCCTCTAATACTTACTAAATAATATCCTTCTAGGTATCCACATATCCTGCTCCCTCCACGCATCCAGGAGCACTCTCTACTGTTGCTTTGCCAAAGAATACTTCCCTGACTGTGATCCGTCTCCTTACGCACCATTTCATTCTTCTTGGTGACTTTTATCCCTGCCCAATACTGTGGCAATTGTTGATGTGTTGATATGATGTTTATCTGATTCTTCCTCCCAAATGTCCTAACAGTTTGTTTGTTTCGCGGCTGTATCCTCAGCACTAGCACAGCAACTGGCACAAGGTAGACACTCAGGAAATAGCTGCTGAATAAGTGAATGAGCCCTGAGTTTATGGGACATAAATAGCTTAGCTGTTGAATATGGGATGGAAAGACACTGATTCATTTTACAAATGTGGGAAGGGGGTGGCGAGCTTCCATTAATGTCCCTCTGATGTTGAACTATGTTATGCTTCAAAATAAGAAAGCAGGAGTAAAAATTATTTCATCTTAGTTTGTTAAGCCATTCTAAATATGATGAAGTTATTTTGATGACAATCTCTAATGGAATCACTACACATGAGATCTGATCTCCAGTTGGCCTCCAACTGTGATCTTTTCCTGCATTTGAAGAATGGGTCTGAATTAGCCCTTAAATTACATTATAAGCAAGTTGACATACCAACAAAAAACTCGGGGAGCACGTACTCTGATGTTAAGAAAACAGGAAGGAGATGTCAAAGCAACATCCCTCAGGACTCTTCTTAATGAATTATGAAAATAATTCAAGAAAACAAAGGAGAATAATATTTCAATGCAGACTTGCCCTCAACATTTGCCGGGCTCAGGATAAGAGTGCAAATGGAGGTTTGCACACCATATGCCTAGATACTTCAAGGTTATATATCAAGGCAACAAAGTATTAAGTAAAATATTTATTATCCTCTAATCTTGACAAATATATCTTCTAGAGATATATTATAAAGCTAAGTTCCAAATTATCATTCTTTAAGTGCTTTGAGTGTCACGGGTTTTCAATGACCAGATTCCTTAGTTGCCATAAGCAGCCCTGCATATGCCTCTATGGCCATCCTGGTCCACTGCACATGCTCTGTCCACACCCCTTACAAGCAGTCGCTCCTTGGCCTCCCCTCAGAATCAGGGATTTACACACTGACAGCAAGGCTTCTACTTGAGAGGACAGGCCCAAGCAAATGATCCATGCAGACCCTGGAAAGCAAGCTAGAGCCATTTGAGCAGAAAATTCTGGAATCTTGACTACCCAAGGCATAATCTAGAAGAGAAGGTAGGTGAGGAGGAGCATAGTTGGGGAAAGGCTCAAAATGGGGACCCTCTGGAGAGGGAGGCCCAGGGTGGCAGGCCATCTAACCCAGTCTAAGTGAGGCATGGTCTGGTGCAGTCAGACTCCTTCTCAAGAGGACATGAAAGAAGCAGAAAAGTATGGAAATCAAGTATAATATATATGTCATATAAAGTAAATACAAAGTTTAGAAAAATTTACAGTACTGACTCTCAGGAAGTTAAAAATGTTATGGTTGCTAAATTATAATAACATCGCAGGTTGAACTATAATGCTGAATATTTAAATCAGCACTTCAAGCATGAAACAGTTGAATTGATATAGAAAAGAATATAGGTTAGAGTAACATGTAGTAAAAATGCTTAACAGAGACTGGAAAGTGGATATTTTATTGTATTTATCTTTCCTTCATCCTTCTTGCCTAGTAATTTGTCACGTAGTAGACTCACAATAAACATTTGGATAAGAAGGAGATGAACAAACAAAAGCTAAATTAAGAAATGATGAGAGAAAATGACAGACACAGAGATACATAATAGGAGTTCAGAATCACCATAAAAATGAATTAGAATTGGTTATGAAGAACATAATTGAAGAAAGCATTTTAAAACTTAGGTAAAAATAAGAAGAAACCAATATCAAAGTAGTTTCTCTTAAGATTCTTTCATGTCATAGAAAAATACATTATCCATACTTCCAAACAGGGTAAAAAAATGACAATGGATTATTTTAAAGGAGACCATTTTCAAGAAATACGTCAGTATTCCTTTTACAATGAAGAAACAGGATAAAAGTTGGAATATAAAGATGATTGTTATAAAGAAACATGTTAATATAAAATGCTAATCTGAAAACCCACAAAAGCATCATACAATTAATTTGAGGCAAAAAGTTTTTGATGACATTTAACACTCATTCTTAATAAAACCATTGAAAATAAGATTAGAAGAACAATTTTCTAATAGCAAAGTACCTATCTTAAGGCGAAACGCAATATTCTTTATGGGAAAATTCTTCAGAAATTTCCTTTAAATCCAGGAATAAAATAAGCATGCTCATTATTTAGCATTATTGTGGAAGTTATTTCTCATCCAAGAATAGTTTTAAAATATACAGAATAGGCCGGGCGTGGTGGCTCACGCCTGTAATCCCAGCACTTTGGGAGGCCAAGGCAGGTAGATCACGAGGTCAGGAGATTGAGACCATCCTGGCTAACACGGTGAAACCCCGTCTCTACTAAAAATACTAATACCTGTAGTCCCAGCTACTCAGGAGGCTGAGGCAGGAGAATGGCGTGAACCTGGGAGGCGGAGCTTGCAGTGAGCCGAGATCATGCCACTGCACTCCAGCCTGGGCAACATAGCAAGACTCCGTCTCAAAAAACAAACAAACAAACAAACAAAAATATATATATATACAGAATAAACAGAATCAATGTTTGATTCATTAACTCATTTTAAAATTTTCCCTTGAGATATCTGTTCCTTTCTATATATACTTACACATACATCTCATATATGTATGAATACATACATATTTATACATATATATCTTATGTGTATGTATATATATATGCATACACACAAATATATATTTGTTTTCAGTAAATTATTTTGTTCTTAATTCTGTACTGCTGAACTATACAGTAATCCAGTTTCTACTCTAAGAAGCAGGTTATATGATATTAGAGACTAAAAGAAAATAGATTCCTTTTAAACATTAAAATCGTTTTCATATTCTATATGAACAAGTATATATAAATGCTATGCTGATTTATCAATATTTATGTTGGCTAAAAACAGGGTCAGCTTGAGAACCAGGAATCAATTTATACCTTTAGAAGCTCCTATTTTGAAAAATCAGTTTAAATAACTCTTTCCAAGTTATAAGAACCTCTTGAAATGTTCAAGTGATCCTATAAAATATTTTTATTATGATGACAACTGATTTATGAGTACATGATTTTGAACCAAAATACAGTCATTTGACATAAGGGTTAAAGTTACTTTGAAATAAGAATAGGCTGCAATTGTATCAAATTGTTTCTAAGTATTTTCAAATTACTTTTAAGATAAACCACTATTGTTGTGTATAATGAATACACTCTACATCCATCCAATATTTTATTGTTAAAAATTCACATTTGACCACTTAATATGCAAGTATTTTTACTGAAAATATGGTTTCTTCTTACAAATTGAGTGGAAACTCAGCTGAGCCCAAGAGCCCCTCCAGTGCTCCCTTTACAACAGTTCTGGTTGTCTGCCTTTTTGCTGTTGTTTTAAGCCAGCGAAGTGCTAATATCATTCTCCACTTGCAGGCCTTACTCTGCAGAATTATTTAACACTAGACACACTGGTATAGGGAAATCACTGTTCAGTAGTAGCCAGGGAACATAATCAGTTCCTTGATTTTTACTTTGGAATGTAATAGCACTGAGGGAAAAGAAAACCAAACAACAATGACAAAAGGAGTAGGCAGGAGGGCTTTATTGGTGGGGGTTGTATTTAATATTATTTCAAAATCACACTTTTCAATTTTCTGCTTTGTAATGAACTACAGCCAATTACTTCCCATCAACACTGATAAAAAGAGCTGTCCAACTGTTCAACATTTGCTTTGCTAATTGAATGATCAATTATTCAAATAAATGATTTTCCCTATCAAGCTCCAGGAAAACCTTGGTCGTTGTTCCAGCCCCAGCTATAACATACTGTGGAGCAACAAAGAAACTAAATCCAGATAGAACCCTGAAATGTTAAGATAAAAATCCCTCTAATTGGGTGAAGATTTATGGCAAGTGAAACCGCTTTGGCATCTCATGGATTCTGATCTTTTCTGAGACTGCTAATCCCACCTTCTCCTAGCCTATTTTGCTGATTAATTCATTGGCAAGTATCTCTGTGTTCCCTAAGAACATGCACTTTGTTAGGTAATGGGTTTTAATGATTAGTCTAAATGCACTCCTTCTTTGCCAGCAAAGAAAGACCTCTCTCTAAGTCATCTTAGCCCCAAGAGGACTTTGTGAGGAGTGGGAGTCTGGGTGGTGCCAGGGGAATTCTCAGCTGACAGATGGCAGATGTGTTCTGTGTTCACGCCCTACAGTTAGGTGGATTAATAGTAGCTCAAGGTCATTCTGTGGATTTGGTCTTTTAAAGTCAAAATAACTTTTAAAAGAGTTAGACAATATGTATAAGCAGCTAGTTTCCATATGTTCGCGGTATTCTGAAGGATTCCTTCTCGATAACTGACTTGCTTTAAATATACAGCAAGTAGAGCTCATGTGAATGGGCACAGGTTCCTTCCCCACCCTCCTTCCAATAATTATTTTCAAAGACAGAGTCTGGTCTTATTAGATGGAAGCTCACATTATTTTCTTTCACTACATTTACCTATGTCTAAAAGCCACATAGTTAATAGAAATCCAAGATTCAGTAGTTTATATATAGAGAGAGTATCCTTTCATGGACAGGTTATGTTCTTTCCCAAAGGAATACGCTGATGGAAATGAGAATTATAGTTTTAACAATTCATGTTAGTTTGCAACTGAATTGGCCACATCAAAAGTGTACAGTAAATGCAAAATGTAACTCACTTTCAAAGTAGGAATTAAAAATCAGATCCTTAGATATATAATCTATTAATAAGAAGAACATTTACTAAATTCAACAGAATTTTATCTCAAATCAGGCTAGGTTGAAGTACTGAAGAAAGCCTACGTAACTATCATAATTTTTATATCTTAAGGGTATTGTGGCTGATGATCATTTCAGAAGCTAAGAAAAGAGTCGGACTTTTTGCATTTACTTAAACAAACACAATTTTTGCAAATTCTAATTAGTAATAGCCTCCACAGAGTAATAGCTTTTGATGGATCACCAGAATAAAAGCATTATAAGGGCTGAGGACTTTGTCCCAGTACATGGCATACCATAGATCTCCAATAGATATTTATTTAATGAATGAATAATTCCAGGTAGGTAGAACTACTTCAAACTGTATTTGATTGTTCTTTCATAGTAAATTTGAGAGTAGAGCAAGCATGTGGTTTTAAAATCTTGACAAAATCAGATTAAAAACTACAATTTCTAAAATTTTACACTAGTGACTTCCTATAGCTACTAAGCACAATAATTTAGGGTTATTTAAAGTTGCTTAGAAGTAGTTGATTTACTACTGTCTTTGTGAAATGTGTCTAGAAAAAACACCAAGTCTTCTTTGCAAAGCTTGGAAACTTGAGCTAACATTTTACTAGTATTTTTATTCTAAGACTTAAATTGACTGGCTACATGATTATGTTCTGGGTAGGAAAAATTACATATTATTCCTTACTTTGGAAGTAGGAACTAAGCCCTCATACTAAGGATAACTTATTGGTTCTGATACACATAATTTAAAAACTATTGGTGCAGGGGAGGAAGGATAACTGGGGCGAGGAGTAGAGAGACAATAAAGAAATAGTCTGATCAATAATAAATAGGATACTAAGAAACACCCCAGAGACTCCATGCCTCCAAGTTCACTTAAGTCTTAACGTACTTTACATTTCAAATCATATCTCACAAAACAAGTGATAGGATTACACTGCTAAATCCATAAGCATTGATTTTTGTCTCAGTCACAGATGCATGCTGTGCACTATTGGAAAATTTGCTAAAATAGGTTTATGCCATACAATGACTATCATGTAGCAAGCACTCTATCTATAAACTTGCTGGAGTCTTTAACAAGCAATTATCTAAGCTTTAGAAAATACAAACAACATTAAATTATGCGAAAACCTCTCTGGACATGTTCATGAATCTTTCCCATTTCTACCATTTTTCATTGTTACAGAGGCCTTCCTATTCCCCAAGCGGAGTATCCTGCTTTCTAAAAATCACAGTACACATGTGTGAGCTTTCAAAGTGTTTTTAGGAAATATCCCCAGTGGACTCTGGAGAGCTTGCCTTCCGGTCAGAGAAAGAAGAAGCGCTCAAATGGGCTATTATTTTCACTGATAGATCGACCTCATTCCTTGTGGAATTTTGGATTTAGTTTCACATGACTTAGTTTCACATGGTGGTAGATCAGCTCTCCGCAGCCATCAGAATAAGAACGGCTTGGTACTTCTTAGGCGCGATAAGGAGTCCGAGAGGGCAGAGGCGCTAAGATACGGAGGTGACAAGATGGCTGCGCTGCCTCAGGCTTTCGTTAGTTCTGTCAGCTACTCTTAGAGAAGGGTTGTTAGTTTGGGCTTGTAGGTGTGTTAAGACATAAATGGTGGCTGAAAGACGTGTGGCTGCATGACGTAAAATGATACCTATTATTGCAGCATTTGTTTCATTGATTACTTTGCTCCTACTCCATTAGAAACTTTCTGAAACATCTTCTTTAAGGTTTCCACTTCCAAAATTCTCTTTGGTCCCTACTTTATTTTAATGCCCTCTCTGTTGTCTTGATTCGCTGCTTCTTTGTCCACGTTGATGGGAATCAATCATATTTTGTCCCATTTTCTCATGCTCTTACTTTTGTTTTAGCTATATTCCCATATCTAGCTCCTTTGTGTACTTTATACGTATCTAAAAATATTTTGGATTTAATGTTTAAAATAATATAGAACAGTTCAATTTATTTTAAAAAGTCAAGGTGATCAGTTTACATTTTGTCTCATTAACATGGTCAAATTTAGAGAGATAGAAATCATACATTATAAAGAATCTTGAGATCACTAATACAATTATTACTACAAATTGCTATTTTTCCTCATGTCTAATACTTAAGAAACATTTTTTTTTTTTTTTTTTGAGAGACTAGGTCTCACTGTGTTGCCCAGGCTGGTCTCGAACTCCTGGCCTCAAGCCATCCTGCCTCAGCCTCCCAAATCACCAGATTACAGGCATAAGCCACCACGCTTGGCCTACAAACTATTTTTAACATAACTTCTTAAGATCACCATTTACCCAGAAAAGACAAAAAACAAAACAAAACAAAAACCCTGCGAACTAAATCCCAGATTTTCTATAATGACATTTTTCTTACCTTTCTGTGTGTAACAAACAATCCCCTTTTGCAAACGTGCTGGACTAAAACCTTACATTTATTCAGAATTCATTAAATAATCATCTCTAATTTCTATGATTAAGCATTTACCTTCAGTTTTGCATGCAGCTAATAGCATTGAGCCCACTTTAATTAACTTAACCTCATTACAGAAAGGATGGCTCTCCCAGGGACCATGTGACAACTGCAGTGTGAAAGTTCATATTTTGTGCAATTTTACCATACCAATTTAAAACCTTTGTTGCAATGAATATTTGTTAAGTATGTAATTTATATTAAAGATGATTTTACTCATTACATAGGAGAAGAAAACAACGTATTTAGGATTTAATATTCTTAATTCAAATACCTGAGATAATTACTTTGTATAACTACATTCTTAAGGAGCTTTTTGTTTTAGAAACATATACTTAAAAAAAGTTTATTGCACTATCATCAAACAAGAAAAAAATTTCTTATAGGTACAGAGTGAGATGTATGCTTGCTTCTGAGTATGAACACTCATCATCACTGAACATCATAGTGCATCCACGAGAGCCACTTTGAAGAGCTATACCATGGAGCTGGATGTGTTGATTGTGTATTTCTGTGACATTATTTATGAATGTACGGAATGGCCTGAAGTTCACAGCAGATCTGGTATGAAAGGAAAACGTGTGTATGTGTGGGGATGCCAAGTTTCTAGAAGAAAACTGGAGTGAAGGGGCAACAACTCCTATTTGTGTGTCTTTTAATTTTATCTTTTCAAACAAACATGCCTTTTCTAGCTTTATTACCAGAAAGAAGAACTACCAGTCCTCCTCCTCTACCACCATATATCACTGTCCGTGAGACAGTAAACTTGAGTGGTATTAAATTTAACAAAAAAATTAAATTTGGAATATGTCTAAACTCAGATATTAGAATGTCACATCAAATTGTACCACTTAATTATTTGATAGTTTGTGTCTAAATTTTGAGTGCTTTACTGTCAACAATGAATATCTGAAATTATTGCATGATGTATTGCATATACATTGATTAAATGGCAATGTAAGTGCTTAGATTAAAAAAAACCTGCTAAAATGTTAAATCAGAACTATAGATCTTTGTGGTTATTGGGATATTGAGACAGCGGAGGACTTTCATATTGGTATGATGCCAGTTTAATAGTGATTGGTTATTGATCACAACCCTGGAATGCAGGTATAGGTGTGTGTATGGGGCAGTTGGTGGGTAATAGTCTCTTAGAAGAAAAGAGCAAATCCCAAACTGTAGGGTTACTAAGGCATCCACTCTCAAGCTCAGGAGTCCCAGACGAAGTAAGAAGCTTGTCTCCAAGCTTCCCAGTCAATCCACAATTGGTGCTAATGAGTTTGCTCAGGTCAAGTGTAGCAGGTTTCAATAAGTGTTTGTCCTTTTTACCAGGATCATTACTGTGGCCCTTCAGGAACATATTTAAGTTCTGTGGGACTTGAAGCTTAAAAACTTTCAGGCCAGGTGGTGCAGCTCACACCTGTAATCCCAACATTTTGGGAGGCCAAGGAGGGAGGATTGCTTGAGTCCAGGAGTTTGAGACCAGCTTGGGCAACATAGTGAAACCCTGTCTCTACAAAAAATAAAAAAATTAGCCAGGCATAGTGGCATGCGCATGTACTCCCTGCTGCTCGGGAAGCTGAGGGAAGAAGATCACTTGTGGCTGCAGTGAGCTGAGACTGTACCACTGCACTCCAGCCTGGGTGACAGAGTGAGACCGTCTGTCAAAAAAAAAAAAAAAGAGTGTTTTCATTAAGATGAATAATCCAAAATCATTTTGCATAAATCCATCTTTTGAGAATAGACAATAGCTTAGCTTTTAATCATGCTTATATTAATATATGAGAAATATTAATATATGAGAAAACTGGCACTCAAAAGGAATTGAGAAGGCATAATTGACCCATCCCCTCATTTGGGTAAGGACAGTATAGAGTCCTCAGGTGGAATAATCTACTCTCTGTCTCTGTCCTCTTTTGGCAATGGGATAAATAGCCTTGCTATCATTTGATTTTAAATTGATTCTCCTACTTAGCCACTGCTTTATCAATGCTTGGCTGAATGTAAAGCCAGAAGTGAGCAACTTCCTCAGGGTGCACTGCTTTTGATGGGTTAGCTGTCAAATGCTCCATTGTCCAAATTACACTGCTACTGTGGATTTCCTGCTAAGAAACAATTTACTGCAGCATTGGGCTATCAGTCTTGTGGGCTGTGTTGGTTTTGGGGTATCAAAATCTGATTAACTTAACCGCAGATACACAGCAGTTCCTACTGTTGCTTTCCCCAAATTTCCATTTACTGTATTGTTAGCAGGATATGATAACAGAGGCCCCATACAAGAAGCATCCCTAGAATAAACAGTAAGCAAAGCTGCCAAAGTTTAATCCAATATCAAAACTAAAGATAAGCACAAAAATAACAAATACAAAAACAGAAGAAGAAAAAGTATATCACCAACATTTTCTCATAGTTTTCTTCTTCCAGCAAAGGACACATCAGTTATCTGAGAAATATAAATATGTGTGTGTTTACACACACACACACACACACACACACACTTATTTATTGTTATACCTCTTTTCCAAACTAATGAGCAGATCTCTTTTCCAAACTAATGAACAAGCACATTCAATTATATGTGCATGGGTTTTATTTATTGTTATTGTTAAACACATACGATATACTGGGAAGTTAAAAGCAAATCTCTTCTACTGATTTTATGTTTTCCCCTTTTATAAAACTAGTCCCATAATAGCCATTCTTGAGATTTCTGTTTTGGTATGTTAAGATTCAATTATCACCTTACTGATTCAATACAACAACTTAATGATGAATCTGCTTACCTTTTGCTAACTGCATGTATGTATAAATACCCAACAACAGCAAACCAGGGAGATTTCCATGATATGGAAAACACCAGGCTGTTTACTTTTTATTCAATATGAGAGAGTTGAGTACTAGATTGAATTTAATCATTGCATTCAAGACAAGACCAAACATCAGTTTTAATATTGCATTTGTGATAAAATTGACATCCATATTTGCTAACTTAATTGAAGCATGACAATCAGCTTTAATATAAACTTCCCAGTTTTTAATAAATGGAGACATGGACATTCTCATTACATTAGCAAATAACTGCACATGTAACCTTTCCATCTTAATTTTTGATAAGACCAAATGGTTTCCTCTTCACATCAGGAAACTCAAACTTGTCTCTTTGGTTAAAAAATGGGAACTAGATTGTCTCAGAATGTTATTTTACTTCAATACTAAACACATTTGTAAATAGTATTAACTAATTTAACTCATAAAGAGCCATTAATTAGTAGTACAGTGTTCAAAAATGATTTACTCTAAGATAAAGTAATAACTAGGATGCTATGTTCCAAGCCCAAATATTTCATTATGTACAGATATAAGGGCCCAATGTGAAGCCCATCTGTACCTACTTTTTTAGTTTCATGAGAGAAATATTTATTGAATAACTATTACGTGCTAGGTTCTGTACCTGGTCTTGGAAACAGAATGCTTATGGATAGCCTCTATCCTTAAAAAGCACACGGTGTCATGGAGAGAGAGGTTGAAAATGATTACAAATACAGGAGTAATAGTATAAGTGTGAAGCAAAGGGAACAGATGGGCATGCAGGGGAAAAGTTTAGATGAGATCATGTTTTGCGGAACCTTGAAAGATGAGCCACTTAGGTGGGAGTGTGTGTCCAGGGCACTCTAAACACTCACCACGTTCCAGGAGGGGGCTGAGCAGAGCAGGTACGAAGAACGTCCAGGAGTGTGGTAAAGCTGGACCACAGTCAACACTGCATGAGTGTAGATAAAGGCTGGAGAGTGGGTAAGAACCTAATGGGTCAAATCAAGAAGCTTGAATGACATCCTGGCAGGAGGTCATTAAATAATTTTTCAGGGGGAAAATGACAAGTCCAGATTTCCATTTGAAAATGACTATGCTGTAGGATATGCGGAAGAGGGATTGGAGGGATAGAAGACAGAAAGCGGGTGAGTAGGCAGGGGGATATTGCAAAGCTGGTGAGAGACCAGGAGAGCCTCTACCAAAATAGCATCTTCGGAGAAGAGGGAACAAAATTTAAGATTCTTAAAGGCTAAATTGAGATTAGACCTCTGATTGTATGTGGTTACTAGAGGGGAGGGACAAGTTAGGAATGAAGTGTCTCCTTGGAAGACTGGTGCTACTAACAAATTAGGTGGAGAATGTACAGATAGGACAGGGTTAAAAAGGAGAAGAGACAGGAGTGCTTCATGTTGTATTTGTGCCCAGGGGGAGGTCTGGAGCTGATTTGGAAGTGGGAATGAGAAATCCTCCAGACTGAGGTGAAATGTTCTCAACCATTAGAACAATTATGGGCACCCTGTTCATATTATCCATTCACAGTGCTTTGTAGACTTGCAGTCAAAGAAAAAAAAACTTTTCATGCTCATAAAGACTTCATTTTATTTCAAACACGTTCTAAGAACATAACTGTGCTGTTTATGATTTTGTTCCTATTGTGTCGATGTGCGGAAGTGCTCGTAACCTATAAAAATGGTAGATGACTACTTGCAGAAAGATGGATAAACCCGTACTGCTGTACTGCTCAATTTTGTTCTTGTAAAAAATTTGTGTTTTCATTCAAATTCATTTTTGTCATCACTAAATAAGTAACAACTAAAGCCAAATGATTTTCCATTTCATAGAACTATAGAAAGTAGAAGAGCAATTTTAATAGCACAGTGTATTATTCCAAGATTCTACAATTAAAAGCATCAAAAGTGTCCACTGCTATCAAGTAGATGGTTCTTCTGTTAGAGAGAGGAAATAAAAAAAAAGTGCTTATACACGGCCATGAGAGGACTTCTGTAAATCTAACCTATTCTTACAACAAAATTACTATGTTTACTGATGGCTATCCATACTTTATCTCTAGTGCTTGCCAGTGGTTGAAGGTCCAGTCCCATCATGATTCTTCCAGTAGACAGACTACATGGAGGTTTGCTTGTAACCTGCAAACATCTTACACATGTTTAAGAAATATATTCCCCAGTCTTGTTTTTCTATTTAATATCTTTTTGAATTCTAATATATCCAGAATTCTTCTCTTTGGTGATATTTTAGTAATGACCTGAGAAAAATCAAGCTCTGTTATAGCATGAAAATTGTTACATAAAATGAAACCTAAAAGTTACTCTGTTTTATACGAAGTTAAAACACCAAAAAGCCTCAGTCCTCCCCAACCAGTATCTCCTGGCATTCGCTCTCCTCAAAGTGTCTGTTAATGGTACCACTACTACTGCTGGTACCCATTTGGAAACTTGTCTTGACCCACTTCTGACCAGCCATTGTAACCTGCAGTCAGTGTTTCTCCCGGTAATTTTTCTAATGTTTCTCCCATCTCTTTGTTCCTTCTGTCCTAGCTCACCACTGTATTATTACAACCAATTTCTAACTGAGTTCTTTGACACAACTTTTTTTTTTCTTTTATTATTATACTTTAAGTTTTAGGGTACATGTGCACATTGTGCAGGTTAGTTACTTATGTATACATGTGCCATGCTGGTGCGCTGCACCCACTAACTCGTCATCTAGCATTAGGTATATCTCCCAATGCTATCCCTCCCCCATCCCCCTACCCCACAACAACTTTTGAGCCCAGATAATACTTTCTGCATGTATTATGGGCTGAGTATTCACTTCTCCACATTTTTTCAATCTTATCTCTTTCTTTACTGCAACACTGATCTTTTGATCTGCTCACATATTTCCTCCTTCTGAGCTCTCCACACAGTTGTAAAGTTAAGACATGAATGGCTTTGATCACACACCACTGTCTCTACCTGAAGCCTTCTGTTCCTCTCTATCCAATGCTTGTTTAATCCTTTGAGATGCAGATGATCTCTCTTTCTCTCTGATGGTCTCTAACCAGTTCCGACTTGCTAGTCTCTCTCAGGGGCAAAAATGTTGATAGCAGGAGACACCATGGCCATATGTTCACCTTTGCTGGGAAGAACGAATGCTGGAGCTGTTCTCACTTCCCCCCAAAAAAAGCCCGAGTCTTGTGCTCCTCTTATGCTTAATTTAATGTGTGAAGCTGTGTTTTTTTTCTCCATGAAGATCTTTTTGTGGTCCTCAGTGGACATTCATATGGGTTATAATATAAGATTAGAAACCTATACAAGATGCCAACAAAATATGGGGTATATGCCAAGGCTTGGACATTTGCTGCAATGTTTATTCTAAAGTCTGGTCTTCTAGAGACACTTGTCTTTCATTTCTGGAAGAAAAAATATCCATTCTAAATCATAAAGAAGTAATATTTAAAAAATGCTTTTATGTTTTCTTTGAAATGGTGCCCTATTTCTTTTTCTTTCTGTCTCTCTATCTCACTCTCTCTCTCTTTTTATTTTTTTTTGAGACAAGGTCTCACTCTCTCACCCAGGCTGGAGTACAGTGGTGTGGTCACAGCTCACTGCAGCCTTGGCCTTCCTGGCTCAAGCCATCCTCCCACCTCAGCCTCTCAAGTAGCTGGGACTATAGGCACCCACCCTTATGCCAGGCTAGTTTTAATTGGTTTTGTAGAGATGGGGGCCTCACTATGTTGCCCAGGCTGGTCTCGATGACCTGAGCTCAAGCTATCTTCTCTCCTAGGCCTCCCAAAGTGCTGGGATTACAGGCGTGAGCCACCTCAGCTGACTCCTTTTTGTTTGAATGCAGTATCTTTAAGAATAAATGGCCATACCTCAAAATTGAAGATCCTGACATTTCTAATTTTGAGTCACTTTCTGCCCTAGCTTCACTTTTAAAATGTAATAAGGGCTCTGAAATTCTATCCACATGGAGGGCTAACAACTCAATACTAAAGGTTTTTAAAATAATGCATAATTCATCCTAAAACTCTGTGTTTCTATGACTGCTGTCCCATGAACTTTTGTAATCTGCCAGTGCAAAAAACAAAGTAAGATTTTTTTCTTTTTGCCTGTAATAATACATCTTAAACATCAGTTCAGTGTGGGTTTTCATGTTAGCTGGCATAGATACCCATCCTAAAATATTTTTACTTGTAATAACCTGATTATTTTAAGCTGTTCAGTGGAAACTGTCTAAATGATTGACTGCTCCCCAAAAGTATGGGAATGATTTCCAAGCTGTTTTCAAGGCAGTTAGGCAGATAAGTAAAACCCGTAAGAATTCTGTTCAAGAGATGGATGGTTCTACATTTGTTCCAGAGGGATATTTTTCATATTCAATGAGTAAGCACATTTGCTTTAACATTGAAAACTACCTAGCAGAGATGAACTATTTTTATGGAAATACTATAAACATTAAACATGCCACATTAATAATAATAATACAGAAAAGGGCTCTGAGAAATAGGAGTCTAGGAACATGAAGGATGATGTAAATTAAAAAACAACCACCACCAACAATAATAGGACAGCAAAAAAGTACAGTAATTTACCAATCTGGCACTACATAAAACTAGCAAATGTACTTCACAATGTTTATCTTTGCTATAATTTGCAGAACATAAAATAATACCTTGATTAAAAGTCTGATCTATTACTCATAGAATGGTTTTAGAGAATTTTTTTATAAGTTATTGTTTCACAATATAATCAAACTAGCCATCTTGGAACAGGTAAAGAAAAGCAAAAATCACATAGTGAAACTGATGAACAATTCCTTTTGCTTCTTGATGTAAAGATTTTGCACCCTAATTAAAAACAACAACAAATAAACAAACCGGGGATGAGGCCACTGGTATGCCACTCTTTAGGGTTTATGCTCCTTGAATTAACTTCACAATGGTCACGTACAGTATTTGCTTTCCTTCTTCTTAACTCCTGGTGATGAGTTTCAAGTGTAATGATGCCTGTGGTTCCACTAGTCTTGTAGAGTAACAGTTCATATTCTGAGCACTTACTCTGTGACAGGTACAAAGTCAAGGACATATTATCATTTAATTCTCCAATAACTTCATTGAGTAGGTCCTAATCTTATCTCCATTCTAGAATGAGGAAACTAAGGCTTGGAATGGTAAAGTAACTTCAGACAAATTCATATCATTTCTAAATGGTTCTGACTCCAGAATCATGCTTTTAATTTCTTTGCTATACTGTCTCTCTACATGGGCCTAAAGCCCTAATTTTTTTAAAAAGTAATGGCAACTAGTAAGCCTATATATTATATATAAAAGTGTTTCCTAGAGTCTGCCAGTTAAGAATCCATTGTGCTATTTAACATTTTTTTCAAAAATTCTTTGCCAGGTACAGGAAATGCTGCAAAAAGCTGCCCTAAGCATATTCCATGGATTTCCCAGTTGGCAATTTGATAGGCCTGCTGTTATTCAAAAACACTTGTCTTTAACCATACTAGAGCAATCAAGTGAAACAAAGCAGGTTAAACTGAAAGTATTTATAAAGCAGGGCACATGGTTATACAAACCCACAAAACATGCAAAGCTGTTGGAAAGAAAATCTGGTCAATTCCAGTACTAACAATCACAGTTAAGGCAATTTCCCAAGGTTTATCTTCCCATCAGTGCTTATAATGGATGTTTTACTATTCAATATTGAAAGGAAAATCTAAGTATTAATTACAGAAGGTATGTAGGTAATGTTTGCATTGCAAAATAAAGCACTAGTCAATAAAATAAAATAGATGGATAGATGAACTTTTTATCTCTCTTCTACAGCAATAATCCTGGTGACAGCACTGAATATCTAGAACGATAATTCTATCTGGTAGCCACTAGCTATATGTGGCTATCTAGCATTTGAAATGTGGCTGATATAACTTATTAACTGAATTTTTAATTTTAATTTATAATAATTGATTTAAAATTTAAATCAATGACTGATGCTTATTTCTGTTATTGGAATAATTTTAAGTATCTTTGGAATAACTTGGGTATGTAAATTTACTTTTTTCAAATATAAATTTTATGAAATCAAATACAGATCATGTATTTCTGATGAAAATTTAAAATCCACATTTGATGTGCTGTAAGTATAAAATAGACACTGAATTTCAGACAGTATTAAAAAAAGGAATGCAAAATCTATCATTAATAGTTTAAAAATATTAGTTACATGTTGAAATATTTTAGACATATTGAATTAAAATAATATTATTAAGATAATTTTAGCTGCTTCTTTTCGCTTTTTTAGTGTGAGTACAAGAAAACTTAAAATTAAGTATGTAGTGCCCATTATGGTTCTATTGGACAGCATTACGCTAGAAAGTATGACTGTAAGTTCATTAATTGTCTTGAAAATAGTGTAATAGTATGCCCCAAAACTCACTGAAATGACATTATTTTTCGATCATAATCTCCATTCTAGTTGCTACAGTAAAAAGTATCATACTAATTCATTATGAAGGAGACTCAGTAAGTGCTAAATCACCTGAAATAAAAGGGAAAACTGGGAGACATGGGGTGTCTAACTCATTCCATGACTTCAGATAGGACTGGTAGGTTAAAGCCAGGATTTGTTAAGATGCTTAGCCTGAAACTAGCTAGACAACTTTTGCAAGGGATGTTTCCATTTATTCAAAGACAGGCACATTCCCCAGAAGTTCTAAACAGAGGAGGATGCAACTGAAGAAATCTCTACAGCATTTTCATTCTTGGCTTCCACATTTCCAAAAAAAAAAAGACACAACAATACACTTCTTAATGATCCCAATGGTGTTCTATTTTAGACTACATTCCAACAGTAAATATACAAAAATAAATAAACACACAAGCAAACAAATGAAATGTGTCCAGAGGTCTGAATTGAGGTCCAAGTCCTGCAATTGTCCCCACCTCCCTGGGCCTATTTCCTTATTTCCATAATGGAGTCAGAGAGGCTTGGGGTCTCTACAAACTTTTAGTTCTAAAGTTGGTGATTCTACACGAATTCTAAGAAGGTGACACTTACATAATGCTTTACATTTTCCATAGCACCACTTCCACTTATTTAACTCAGAGCAACTTGGTGACAGGCTTTTTCTTGACACAGGGTCTTGCTCTGTTTCCCAGGCTGGAGTACAGTGGAACAATCATGGCTCACTGCAAGCTCAAACTCCTGGACTCGAGAGATTCTCCCATCTCAGCCTCCAGAGTAGCTAGGACTACAGGCTTGAGACACCACCATGCCCAGTGAGATGATTTGGCTGTGTCCCCACTCAAATCTCATCTTAAATTGTAGCTCCCATAATCCCCACATGTTGTGGGAGGGACCAGGTGGGAGTTAATTGAATCATGAAGGTGGATTTTTCCTGTGCTGTTTTAGGATAGTGAATAAGTCTCAGGAGATCTGATGGTTTTATAAATAGGAGTTCCCCTGCACACGCTCTCCTGCCTGTTGCCATGCAAGATGTGTCTTTGCTCCTTCTTCACCTTCTGCCATGATTGTGAGGCCTCCCCAGTCATGTGGAACTGTGAGTCCATTAAACCTTTTCTTCTTTATGAATTACCCAGTCTCAGGTATTTCTTCATAGCAGTATGAAAATGGACTAATAGAACCCAGCTAACTTATTTTTAATTTTTGTAGGGACCAAGTCTCACTATGTTGCCCAGGCTGGTCTCCGACTCCTGAACTCAAGTGATCCTTCTGCCTCTGCCTCCTAATGTGCTGGGATAAACTGACACATTTTTAGAAAGTGAAGAGCCTAGGACTACAACTAATCTAAATCATTTTTCAGTATATTATACTGATTGTCATTTTCTGACAATCACAGAAATTATGCTGAATAATTTTCATGTATTAAATCATTTATAAGAGATGAGCTAGAAAATCAGATATCTGTCATTTCTTTCCAATATATCTTGTATTCTTTCCTTTTCTTCCACTGTCAATACCACATTTTATATGTGAACTTCTATAACTCTGTATTGATGTATTAAATATAGATACAAATGATTTAGTAGACAGTGTCATAACTATTTTAATGATGACCAATCCCTTAACTTTGTTCAAATACCATGCTCTACAAAATATAAAGTGAGCTTTGTCCTTTCATGGTAAAAAAAAAAAAAAAAAAAAGGCACTTTTAAAGAGAGGCCAAAGCACTGTGGCTCACACCTGTAATCCCAGCACTTTGGGAGGCTGAGAGAGGTGGATCACTTGAGACCATGAGTTTGAGACCAGCCTGGGCCATGTAGAGAAACCCCAGCTCTAGCTGACCCCTGGCACACCCCTGTCGTCCCAGCTACTCTGAAGACTGAGGTGGGAGGATCACTTGAGCCCCAGACGTCGAGGCTGCAGTGAGCTGTGTTCGTGCCATTGCACTCCAGCCTGGGTGACAGAGTGAGACTCCATCTCAAAATAAAAAAGAGGTAATCATAATATTCTTTTAATGTAGGTTGAAAAACAAATGAGTATTTTTTACAGAAATGTATCTTTAAGCCCTAGAAAAGCTAACCTTAAAAACTGGGTAAGTTTAAAAAATTACCCAATTTTTAAGCAAGGATAACTCCCTTCACTCCCTAGAAACTTAGCTCATTATTGAGTAATTATATAGTTATTTCTAGCATCTTCTGTGAGTCAATAGAAAATAATTATATAACAGATAACATTTTTAGGCTAAGATAAAGTATTCTAGTTAAAATGCTTACTCAGTTTTAAAATGGCACAAATTTTGGGCATAATTTATATACTTAACAAAGGAATTTTTAAGAGTTTGAAGTATCAAAACATTTTTTTTTTTTTTAAAAAAAAAACAGGTTTCACTCTGTCACCTGGGCCAGAGTGCAATGCACAGGATCATAGCTCACTGCAGCCTTGAACTTCTGGACTCAAGCGAAACTCCTGCCTCAGCCTCTCAAGTAGCTGGGACTACAGGCATGCACCACCAGGCCCAGATAAGTTTTTAAAACTTTTTTTTTTAGAGATGAGAGAGTCTCATTTTGTTGCTCAGGCTGGTCTCGAACTGCTAACTTCAAGTGATCCTCCCTCCTCGGCCTCCTAAAGTGGTGGGATTACAGGTATGAGCCACGGAGCCTGGCTGAAACGCTTTTTCGATAGACTATTCCACTACAGAAATCTTATCACTACAAAGTATTAAAAAGCATCTTAAGAAAGAAAATAAGATAATTTTAATTTATAATATGTTTTATAATCCAATTCAGTAAACATATATTATTGGTTCAGAGGGACTAAAACCATATTGATTTACCTGTGATTATCTAAAAGTAAAAGTCTCCCATAAGACTATAAAAAAGACATATACATCTCACATTCCCCCAGGGAAATTCCTTCAGATCAGCATGCATGGTATTAGATGTCTGCAAATGCACCCTTTAACCTGGAAACAAAAGAGAAAAGAAACAGAGGGGATTTCTACCCTTGGGGAAAGTAGTAAGTCACTGGCTTAACTTTATTATACTGCTCTTCTGCTATGTGTCACTTCATGATAAAATGCAAGGTGGGAGTAGGGCAGATGGAGGACTTAGATGGTTCAGAAGGAATCTAAAAGCCATGACTGTTGACTGTAATGTCACTTCCTCCTCCCTAAGATATTAGGAGTTATTATTTTAAAGTCAAGGGATTAAACACAAAGTGTTGAGTGAATGTAAGTAATTTGAATTTTCCAAGATGGAACTTTCGTGACCCAGTCATACTAGTTGATGGTGGAACACTGTTGGAGGAATCAAGGGGGGAATATCAAGTAAAGAGGCAAAAGGCTGTCACTTGGAGATGATTATGACACACATACTATGTGTGATAAGCCCACTGGACATTTTCTATATTTTAAGCTGCTCCTGAAGTATTTTCTAAGTTAGAGTAATTCCACTTGGCACTCAGGACTTGATTAGGAAGTTCCACTGAATACCATTGACATTTCCAAATATTTAATTTTTTGTTGTGTCTAAGTATTGACTGTAGATGTTATTTCTATGGTCCAATTATCCATCTTGACCCTGAATTACAGATATGAGTGTTATTTTACCAGCTTTAGAGAATATTCAGTGTGCTGATACATTCTTCCCGTGATCGCTTATTCATTTGAAATTAAAAGCCTACTGATGTTTTATTACAGTGAGCTGTTCCAAAAATTACAGAGTTGCTTTCTTTAGAAATATAGAATCCAAATAGTAATTCTTATACAATCTACTGTTTTTTTTTTTTTAAAAAAAAACAGATTGCTATAAATCTCTCCTTTAGACACAAAGCCTAGAGGACAGTTTTGAATTTAAACAAGATTAAAGTCATGATAATGACACTCAGTTTTGTAAACCTATTCTCTGATCGTTTTATTAAGAAATGGAAAAACAAATGAAGATGTATGGCTGGGTAGCTAAGGACATCTTATCTGCAAATCTGTACTGACTATTGTTAGTGCATTGCCTTTAGTTGTGCTTTTAATGTACTAAAGCTCATACTGTGAAATAAATCTACTCTTTTCTGCAGTATTGCTTCTCCATTTGATTTATTTTAAAAGTTAGCTCAGCTTGACTTCTGTACCCAGCTGCTTTCTAAATAACAGATTTCTATCCACTTCTGAAACTTTAATAGTAATTTACAAAAAAAAAAAACCCTCCAATCCCACTAACGCAAGTTTTGAAAGGAGGTGATGAAATCTCACGAATGGGGGGTGCTAACTGTGTAGTCAGATCCTCCTTATTCTAGAAATAAAGTGCATCTAATTGGAAAACTCCTCTTGGGAGAACAGGGATCGACTTTTACCCACCCTAACTGCCAAAGGGCGAAAACTGGAGTAACTAAACAGAGTTCACTTTACCAACAAAAAATATAAAGGAGTACTTTTACATTGATTTTAAGAGATAAGATATGAATTGGGTGAGAAATATTCAATTTCGTGACAAGTACTTCCCAACAGATATTGTTACATAAAGCAAGAAAGGTGACAAAATTATATAATTACAATTCTGGCATCTGCTATGAAAAGGTATTTGCTGTGTGTGTGTGTGTGTGTGTGTGCTTTTCTCATTGGTCATTGCCTGGTATTATTTTTATCCTTTGTTAGTGTTCTTGCATTGTTTGCTAGAAAGTATGCTTTGCTGCAAGACACCAGTAAAATGCAATTCAGCAGCATAAGCGGCACTAGGATTGATGAAAAAAATGGAATAAGAATAAAAAAAAAAATAACTTCACTCTCCTCTATCTCTGACACCAAAAACAACAGGCTGTGAAAATAGTTTCATTAAAAAATAACAAGCCCATGCTCACCAGGGGATAGATCAGGGCAAACTGAATCAAAAATTCCTCAATCATTGCTCAAGTAGGTCAACTAGAATTAACTCAAAGGGCAAAGATTCAGAGTGAGCTGCCCATTTCTCACCAGTCTGCTTCTTCAGCCCTCCTGTCTGCCCAGGAGGGAAATGATATGGTGGAGCTCTCCATGGTGGGCATGTCATTTTGCCAAGCCTCTCTCAATACCAGTGTATAAAGGTGGGCCCATATTATGGATAGTATTAGTTTGAGCTCCTCCAGTTGTCTAGAATAAAATGCTAATCGGATGCAAAGTTATTTGCTTTTTGGGAATGTACTTCTGTGATTTTGAATTTACTACCTTACTTTTCAACAAAGCCATTAGTCTAGTTGTATGGTCAAAATGCTGGTGAATGTCTCAATAAAGCTATTTTCCTTTTGCACAGGTTTTATCAAAGCATTATTAACTTTATTCTTATATGTCAAATTATGTTCTTTATTTTTTAAAAAATTAGAACAAAGTCCCTTTAAATAGTGCTTGAGAGGAATTTGTCCAGGTTAAATCTATAGAGTTCTCTTAGTGTCCTCCTCCCAGACACTAAGGGTATAGCTGCCTGAGAGCAGGTCTTTTCTCTTCCTCTGTCATATCAAAGTTAAAAAGTCCTGTTAGAAAAAATATATGCTGCTCTAATGAAAATAAAGTTTTCATCTATATTACTAATCGGGGGAGTTTCTAGTCCTGACTTTTGTTATTAAAAGCATAGCAGTTTCTCCCATACAACAGTAGTTCCCTGAGTGCCCAGGGATTTATCACAAAGATCCACTATTTCTTCAGCAGACAGGCCAAAAAAGCTGTAGGGCAGAGAGAAACATGACAATGTGGAATTTCATTCAAAGAACATTAAGAATTTTAAGATAGCCACAGCAGAGCATTAGACCAAGCATGGGGCCCTTCTAAGGTCCAGTAGCCTTCAAGCCACAAGCCCATGAAGACTGGCCTGTTGGCCTGTCTCTGGGTCTCATAGAGTTGGAGTACACAGATGGGCAGCTTTCAGAGCAGCACAGCTTCTCTGGCTTCATCATAAGGAAACTTCTATGTTTCTATGTATCAGCCTTTGCAGTAAGAGCCTTAGGAACCATCCGGCAGGCTATCATTAACAGATAACCAATAACGAGGGCAAAGGTTTCAACCTAGAATAAACCCAGAGGATATTAATAGGAGGGTTTGTCTTTAGCAACTTCAGAAGCTACAGGGGAAGAGAGAGATTCTGCTGTGTAGAAAACATGTGCTGACCCATAGATATCAGAACACATGAATTCAGGATATGTTGCTCATTAATTAGCTCTATCATCTTGGGTAAGATATTCCAACCCCCTGGATTTCCTGCTTTTCACTTTAAAGCAAAGGTGTTAGAGACATGATTCAAGGGTCCTTGGAAAATTTACTAAGTCTGTGAGATAAGAAGAGGAGAGAAATGATATACATTTTCTTTTCTCAGGGAAATATCTCTACTTGTAATGAGTATTTAATTTTATCTAAAGGCAATGATGATGATGATGTTGATGATGATGATAGCAGCAGGAGACAGACAAATTTCTAGGCAGACAGGGATGGCTTGAACCCGACCTTCAAGCCAAAGGACAGTTTAAAGCCTGAAAACCGAGCTGGCAGTTCCAGATGGAGTCCACCACTGGAGTGAAAACTTCTATCCCTGTCTTACCCTCTCTCGACTGGTTCCTTCTGAATGATGCCTTTCACCCAATCGAATGGTGCTTTTCCAAGCCCACCCGTGGACCCATCAGCATGCATTTCCCCATTCTAAGCCCATAAAAACTCCCATTACTGAATTACTGAATCTACTTTTCATTTTAACAAAGTTGCAACCAAGAAACCATTATCCCTGATTGTGACCCTATGTTAACAACTGAACTAATTTAGTTTGCATTTAGCTTATTTAATCTTCATGAATGCTTTATGAAGTAGGTACTGTCATTATACCAAGTTTACAGGTAGGGGAATCAAAGCCCAAAAAGCTTAAGCATATCAACATTTACGAAGCCCCTCTCATGTGCTAGGCTCTATGGCAGAGTCATGGGTTTGATGCATTCAGGGTCGAGGAAGCCAGGAGGCTGAGTGCCAGAGAAGGGGCAGGGAAAAAAGGAAGGGTGGGCAGTCTTGTGTGTATTGTCTGGGTGCCAAAGGAAGAGTCTACAGCAGGGAAATGCAGCCTTTTGACAAGTGGGAATTAAAAGGAATTTCTTAAAGAACGTAACAGAAGTTCCACTCATGTTTCTGAAAAATGTAAGTGCTTTACACAAAACAAAAATGTTTCTGAAAAATATAAGTGCTTTACACAAAACAAAAATGTCTAACAAACTCCAAGGTTAATAAACTGGTGCATTTAAATCTGCACCACCCTTGTATTTTCAACTAAACAAATATGGATGTGATAATTCACATTTGATATTTGGCTAATCCCATTCTACCAAGGAGTTTTAAATAGTAACATTAAAGAAAAGTTAGTAAGAAAACACTCAGGCATCTAAAGGATTTAGTTAATTCTCCCCTAGACAAAGAACCTGGTGTCTTTATAGCTCTCCTAATTTCCCATTAAATATTACACTAATAATTAATTTTTTACGTACATCCTAAATATATTCTTCCAAAGTAGAAAAAGCACATTGAACAGGATAAATTGCAAATAGAAACTTACATAACTCTTTTTATATGTTTTGCATATTTGTGTCACTCAATACATAGGACATGAACGTACATGATGTGGCCAATACCATCCTTAAAATTCAATCCTTTGGACAAATGTCCGTATACTGAAAAAATAGCATCTAAGTTTTGATTGCCCTTCAGACTATTTGACATAGACTTTACAGAACAAAGAACATTTAAATTAACTGTGCAAAGCAAAGAGTAGAAATCATCTTATTATACAACATCAAGACAACTATCAAAACATTTCTTTAAAACTCATCTATATTTTAGAGCAGTAGCATTATTAATTGTCTGCATTCTGCCCCATCTTCATAATTCAATGTGTCCAGTCCTACATCTGTTGCATAAAATTGGCATATTTATTGCACCCTTGGGACACAATTTCCCAATGAGAAGTAGCCAAATGTAGCTTTTTTTTTTTTTTTTTTTGCTTATGTAAAATGCTACAGTGGATAACATACATCCTTGCTCCCAAAGTACAGGAAGAAAATTTATATCATTAAACACATGCAAATGAAAACACAGGATTCCATGCTTATCATCCAAACCACTTACCTGATTCATCAAAACTACTTGGGTAGTAGAACAAACTATTATATCTTCCCAGAATATTATGGAAAGGTATCCTCTATTGCTGAATAATTGAGTCTACTTTTCATTTTACCAAAGTTGAAACCAAGAAACCATCATCCCTTGATCCTGACCCCAGTGCTCCCCAACTTTGGTGGACAGATTCTGCAAACTGTCTACCAAACTAGTGAGATAACAGATGCAATGCACTAATCTAACTTCATTCACTCATTCATTCATTCATTCATTCATTCAACAATTGTGTATTTGCTAAGCACAAGGTAATAAGGAAAGTTCTACTGTAGCAGATAATTCTCCATGTAGTGTTTGTATCATTCTAAGCCATTGTTGACTTGCTAATACTGTCCATTTGAAAATAAAAACCCTCATTTTAATTACTAGGTTAGACAAAGCAATGAAGATGTATCTCCTGTTTCTTGTTTCTGTTGCAAATTATGTATGTCTAGAAGACAATAGGGCATTGATTCTCAACCACAAGTAAATAAAGCATGTAGACTTAGTCTTAATGAGATAAGGTTTAGTCTGTGCCTTCTCAGTGGGATGGTTTTTGCTATTTTGCTTTTTAATTGGTAGCAAAAAACTTCAACAGTGTGTCCTTTTTCTGCCTACAGTGAATTCTACATGGGAATGGAGTTGCTGTAGAGAGCTTTTGGATATAAATGCTGCTTTAGAGCTAATTAGATAAAAATCACAGAAAAAAAGTATTGTTTCTTACTGGAGAGGAAATTTGAAATATTTTACTCCATGAATTCTCTGAATAATACAGGAAAACTGTAGAATCTAGTCTCTTTAATTCTCTACTGAAATCATCAAAAATAAGGTCAGTTTACTTTAAACTTGCTATTTATATCACATAGGTCTTCCTAATGCCTTAGACAAAATTGGGATAACAAATATGAACAGAAGTATGCCACCTGCAATGTTTTTAAGTCCCTAAAATAAAAATGCAATCACTAGTTTTAAAAAGGACAAAAAAATGACATAGGAAGAAGTATCATGCTAAAAGCAGTATTCTAAAAATGTTAACTAAGACATGATTAAATACCAATTACTTTAATTTCGGCAGTGTCTTCCCTAGAGACTACCTGGGAAATACTGTCAACAACTCCACAAAAAAGCATCACACTACATACAAGAGGCAAGAACCCTTTCAAGTTAATGAGGATTTTTAAAAATGCAAAAGATTGTTTCTCCTTTAGTGATTTTCAAATTGGATTATGTCAGTCCCTTGCATAAAACTCTTCAATGGATTCCCATGCAGTTAGGATAAATGTAAAATCCTCATGATGGCCTGAATCCCCTTCCTATCTCCCCACTTTTATCTATCCACAGGGCATATTCTCTATTTACACTGGTATTTTTCCATTTTCTCCGAAAGACCTAATTGTTCCTGCCTCAGGGCCTTTGCTCTTGTGTTCACTCTACCTCAAGTTTTCTTCCTCTTGAATAACTTCTAGGCATTCTTTAGGTAGTCAAATGACATTTCTTTAGGGAAGCATGCCCTGATCACCAACTTCAAAGTACTTTTTCTTATTCTCTTTTATAGCACCAGAGTGGATTTTCCTCATTAGTCATTTTCTTAGAACCCTGCTCCTTTCCTCCTCAGTACTTATTAGAAACTAATTATGTATGGGAGTAGGATTTTTGTTTGTTTGTCTTTCATGTTAGTCTTCCCCATTAGACTATGCTTTACAGCTATAGGGACTGCATCTCCACTGTTTACCCCTAATTGAGCACAATGCCTTCATATATTCACAGGAATATATCTTGAAATAATGGTCAACTTCCCAGTCATTAGACTTTGTTTCTGACATTGTTATAGATAAAGGTAGCCAATCATTTGCATATATATAGACTGTAGTGGACAACATTGTCACGGTGAACACATTCTAAGCAGGTAATAATGAGTTACATCATCCCCTCTCTTTGCGTGCAGAAGGAGCCTGTGACTTGCTTCTAACTAACAGAATCTGGCAAAGGTGACATAATGTCTTTCCCATCATTAGGTTACATTATACCTTGCTGGCTTTGAAGAAGTAAGCTGCTATATTCTGAGAGAGGAGAAATGTCAAGGAGCCTGTGGGAGCTCAGAGCAGACCTTGATCACAGCCAGCGAGAAAATGTGGCCCGTAGTTCCACAGCCACAGTGAGATGAATTCTTTTTTTTTTTTTTTTTTTTTTTTTTTGAGACGGAGTCTCGTTCTGTCACCCAGGCTGAGTGCAGTGGCACGATCTCGGCTCACTGCAAGCTCCGCCTCCCAGTTTCATGCCATTTTCCTGCCTCAGCCTGCCGAGTAGCTGGGACTACAGGTGCCCGCCACCACGCCCAGCTAATTTTTGTATTTTTAGTAGAGACGGGGTTTCACCGTGTTAGCCAGGATGGTCTCAATCTCCTGACCTCAGGATCCACTCGCCTCGGTCTCCCAGAGTGCTGGGATTACAGGCGTGAGCCACCGCGCCCGGCCCACAATGAGATGAATTCTGCAAACAACCTGAGGTGGCCTAGAAGTGGATCAACCTTCCAGTCCCCAACTCCACCCTGGGTTGAGCCTCGAATGAGGATGTGCCCCTGACCAACAGCTGCATTGCAGCCTGTGAGACCCAGGTAAGCCCTGCCTGGTCACGTAATTCACAGGAACTGTGAGATAATAAATGGATGTTTTCAGCTGCTAATTTTGTGGTAAATATTACAGGGGAGTAGGAAACTAATACAGCTGCCAAATCACATATGGAGCCAAATTGCCAGCAAACGGATTCTTTCTTCATTGATATTCTCATTTTCTTTTATTTTAACGACTGAGTTTTTGGATGTTAAGGTATTCTCTTTTTATTTTTATATTTGAGACGATTTTCTCACTAAAAGAAATACTTTTTGTCCTTGAGATATAACATTTGAGGTATTTTTCTTTTTTATTCAATATATTTTGTTAATTTGGAAGCTTCAATTTGTTCTTAGTAGAGTGCCTACCATGTGCAATACAGGAGGCATAAATTAGGGGAACTTCAGGGGGGTATTAAAGCTGTGAGCAAAACATAGGAGCTAATAATGTATTTATTCCTATTTTTATTATTTTTATTTTTTTATTTTTTTGAGACAGAGTCTCACTTTGTCACCCAGGCTGTAGTGCAGTGCTGTGATGATGGCTCACTGCAGCAGCCTTGAACTCGTAGGCTCAAGTGATTCTCCCAATTTAGCCTCCTGAGTAGCTGGGACTACAGGAGTGCACCACTGTGCCAGGCTAAGGTTTTTTTGTAGCTTTTTGCAGTGATGAGGGCTTAATATGTTGCCCAGGTTGGTCTTGAACTGCTGGGCAAGTAATCCTCCCACTTTGGTCTCCCAACGTGCTGGCATTAAAGGAGTGAGCCACTGTGCCTCACCCCAGTAATTTAATACAGATTGGGTAATAATCCTAAGAACTCAACATATATGTTCAGCGCCTCTTCGTGATATTTTCAGTCTAACCCTGAGAAGCTGAGTCAGAGCCCCTACTTGGGGCATAACAAGTAGCCCAGAGCCCGAAGGAGGTGAGACTCAGTGGATCCGAGCAGAGTTGTGTGATATACTTCCCTCTGGGAGGAGGCCAGGGACAATATTTTATTCACCTTTGTAATCCCCAGATGCATAGCTGACAATCAAACAATACAGATTTCTAATTGAAAGCTCAAGAGATATTACAGTACAATGGAATGTGGAATGTGTCAAGGATGCCTTTTCGAAAGTGGTATCTTACTGTGGTTCTTGAAGATGTGGACAGTGGTTATTACTAGAGAGATTGGCAAAATGCTGCTTCTCCTGTCTTCATGCAATTTCACATATCAATTATCTAGTTTTTGTCTAAAAGCTGTTTCTAAAGATGTATCATTTGTAGTTTTATTCATTTTGTGAAATGTAATGCTACTAATACAATATCTTCATTTAAATCCACTTCTACCTACTTGTAATTTTTTTCAGAATGCCTTCTAATTGATGCCATTATACATCTTAGATATCATCTGTTTTACTCCATTGGTTCTAATTTTTAAATGGCTGCTACCCTATTTATCATATTCATCAGATGTACATTTTCAGATTTCTCTCTTCTGCCTAGGCCTGCTGTCCTAGCATGCTAGAAGCACTGGACAGACAAGGAAGCCTTATGTTTAAGTGTGGGCTCTGTGATCAAGCACACTTCTCTCAGGGACTTATTTTGTATAATCAGCACAATCATTCTCCATTTGTTTATTTATTTAAAAAGTGCTTAGCCTTGAGGGGAATAAAAGTGCATAATAATGGTTCCCTCTGTTTCTGATCACACAGATAAATAGGAGAGAAGAATAAACAGATAATCCCAGAGGGCCTTAAAACATTATGGCACCTTAGTGTTACAGGGTAGTATTTGAGGACACATATAATATAAAGAAAAATATTTTGCAAGCTATAGCAACCCTCTATCACTATATAAATATGCTATAACACACATTTAGCAACTATGTCTCTTGATTGCAGCCTATACTTTCCTCCTCTACACTTTAGCCCATGCCATTTCTCTAGATTATTATCTGCAATTAGCTAAACCTTTCTAAATCTATTTTAAATCCTAGTTCCTTGGCAGCAATTTCTTTAGAGTCCCCTAGTCTAAAGAGATTGCTCCCTTTATTCTAAATTAAGAAACTAATAAGTCTCTTTGAGACATTTCTTCTATGGTCCTAACAGTGATCTGAATTTTCAGTGATTCACTTTTTCATGTATGAGATACTATTTCTTTAAAAATACATTGTAAGGTGTTTAAGATATCTTTTCAATTTGATGAGTATAAATTACTGCTATGTTCCATAGGATGTCAAGAACTTCACAGTCTTGGGGGAAGAAAGAGAAAATTAGACACGTGGGCCAGTAATTACTAAGTAGAACAAGGAATAAGTGTGGTAGGCAATAAAAATAAAAAAAGAGAAAAAGCTTGCATCTACTTGAGATAATCAGGAGAGGCTTTTCAGAGTAAGGCCATGAAATAAGCCTCTGAGTATTATTGAAATCCCAAAGGCAGAAACTGGAATCTGCTGGGAGAAGAACATTTGAAGAAACAGCCTGAGCAAACTCATGTTGGTAGAGCAATCTCGGGCATGTTCTTGAACAGGACAGGTGAGCTGGAACCCCGCTGCTGCTCAGTAGCTGGGAGTCACACTTGGGAACCAGCTCAGTGTGGAGATGACAAGAAGGCTTTTCATTTGATAGACAGCAGGAGGCCACTGAAAGTTTCATTTCAGGGAAGTCAATAGTACTCAATAAATACCTGCTAATACTTTCACTTTATTTCTGCTACTTTTCAAAACCTTGCCCCACTTTGGGAGCCATTGTAAATATTTTAAATATAATACCTTTATTATTGAAATAAAATAAATAGATGTTTTCCATATTCGTAGCAGCTACAGATGGATTACCATTTCCCAAGTGCATCTCCTCTGGTCTTTGTCCATCTCTATCTGGCTTACTCATCCACTGCACAGTTCTTCGGTGCTCTGTGGATCTTGTTCAATCCTTGTTTCAAGAATTTGCTTTAGGTCATAATTAAAGTAACACTGATATGTTTCCTCAGTAGTGTCTCTTGAATAATCTTTTACAATTCTCTCTTGTAATCAATAGGAGGGTATTTCCGAAGAGGCCAGTGTGGCTCACAGATGGATCGTTTTCCAGCCATTGAAAGCTACCTTGGGGGAAGGAAACTACTTAGCCTCCTGTGTGGTGAGTACATTAGACATACATAACACAATAATTAAATTGATGAACAGTCAATAGACTCTAAAGGCCTGGGAGGGAAAAACCAAAAAGCATGTAAACTTTCTTCTCTTCCATTTTTTTTGAAAAGAATCGCTTTTATTTTATATCACCAATGGACAAAAAACATAAATTAATAATGCAACTGTATACAATTCTTAAGCCATTTATAATTGCTGCTTATTTTCACAACGTTCTTGGGGAGAGGTCCAGGTATATCCCACATTTCAGTTAGATCTAACCATCAAAGGGAAATAGAATATTTTTGGACAAAACTACCCAAAGTATGTCAGAAACAAAAGTAGCCCTGAGTTATTTTGATTAGCTGCTGGTATTGATGAAACTCATTTCATTTCTGAAAGTACTGGATTAAAAAAAAATCAGCACCCAGGTATCGCTCTCCCTTTTTAAAAGCATTATAAGGTCAGGAAAATCATATTCCAAGGCCATAATGATATGCAATGAAGAGAACCAAAGTGGAGCCAGGGTTCTAGGCCAAAGCCCATGGATATAAATAGTTTTTTGCCTGTTACTATTCAACTGTATAATAATGGGCCACATACGTTCTCTGGGACACTTGTTTTCTCATTTATTAAATGAGTGTTGGCAGGGAGAATTCATCTTAATGATCTCTAAGAGTGCTACTGATGTGGACAGGACACAGGGAAATACAGATACAAGAGGGTGGTTCTCTGGCAAAGGCTTCACCCTCAAGCCTGTATATCTGCGGCCCTAAATGAGAACAGGAATTTCTGGTTTTGTACCCAAAAAGTTGCCATTTGGCCCACCATGCCCTCTATCCTGCACCCATATAAACCCTGAACCCCAAACTTCGGAGCAGAGCAGCAAGCCAGCAGATCAGCAGATGGATGGTGGAACAACGTGGCAGAGAAAGGGAGAAAAGGAGGAAGATCTGAACGCCGAGAGGAGTCTGGCTGGGGGCAGTTGAAGAGGAGTTTAGCCAGTGGGAGGCCCGACTCCTGTGGGGGATCACTTTCCCACTCCATGCCCCCCTTCCAGCTTCCCATCCATCCTGCTGAAATCTACCTCCACTGCTCAATAAAACCTTGCATTCATTCTTCGAGTGTGTGACCCGAATCTTCCGGGATGCTGGACAAGAGCTTGGGGTACAGAAAGCATCATATTGGCCCTCTGCTCTTGCAAAAAGGCAGAGCGTCCATTGAGCCCGTTAACATTCAAGCCATCTGAGGACAGCAAAGGTGAAAGAGCTTTGTAACTCTCGGGTTGCAGGCACCCACCCCTAGACACTACTGCAGAGCTGGAGCCCAAAGTACTCGCCCCGGCCTCTACATGTGCCCATCTGCATACTCCCCCTCACGGAAGGGGTTTGAGTGGTGGGAGCACTGAACAGGTGAGCCACACCTCTGTCACACGTCTTGTGGCCCTGTGAGGGGAATCAAAGAGCTCTTCCTTTTCACTATAAGCTCTAAAGCTCTATGAGACAGTTAGTCTGTTATTCTATCATTCCAGTGATCCTCAGGGGGATGACCTGGGTGGTTATCATCAGCTGCTTCATGATCTTTTCCTCCTTGCTAGTTGCTGCGAACCCAAAACAACCTGTGCCTATATTAAGCGCAAAGAAAATCCTTGAAATCTCAACATTTAAGAAATATAAGGGGTTTATTAAGAGATCTGAGCTGACTCCTCATTTTAGATGAGGAAGTAGAAGCAAATAAAAGTTACATGAACTGCCCAGGTCATATATTTGCCATGGACAGAACCGAAGTCCAGGTCTCCTGTTTTATTGCTGCGTGCCTGAACTTCCCACACGTTAGCTGTGTGTGCACCAGGCTCACAATTTCTGATATATTTTCTCACTGCCTTTACTATTATTTGTGAATATTTTCTTTGAAATGTATTAATGTTTTTACTGAGCACATTTATTATAAGAGGAAACTGTATGTCATCACAGTAAATGGAAATCAGAATCAACTGTCATCAATAGGTTACCATAATGTGAAATGAACATACAACTCTGTTTCATCATTTACTTAGATTCTTTTGCTTGCCAGAGGCCAGGGGTCCAAGGCGTCTCTGTTTGTTAAAAATGAAGATTAACAAATGTTAGGAGTTTTCCGTGGCACTAGCAAAAAATTGAGATCACTGCTTTAATGTCACGAGGACTGAAAAAAACAGGAACAAATCGACTTTTATGCTAGGTAAAGGTATGATTTCAATATTTCTTGACTCCTCAATACCATGACTTCTCACTTCATCCTGACATGAAAAACCAAATTACTGGTCCTGTTTCCCATGTCCCTGCTTTTCAGTGTTCTGCTTCCCATCTGTAGCAGTGCTTCATCTGCACTAATGTTGGGTTGGGTGAGCAGTGCCCTCCCCTCCAGTTAATGTTCTGCATTATACAGCATGGGCTTCCTGGAGATGGTGCCATGATCCATAGGTACCGTGGCAGGATTTTCAAAGACCTTGACATCATCTGAAAAGTTATTGTTTGATTCCATTAGGTCCATCCCTGATTTCATTTCTCTAAAATGAAACCTGACAACTGTAGTTTAGGCAGGGCTTATATGGGATGCAACTAGGGCAGACTTGATTCACAGTCCAAATTTATCAGTACATGGCAAAAAAATAGGTTGTATAACAAAACTAGGTCAAAACCCCTGATTTCTTTCACCGTCAGTCCCTTAAGCCACTCTACTTCATTAACAACGTTTACTCATTCTTTATTTCCAAGTTTAAATTTCTGAGTATAATTTATAGAGCAAATCAAAGACTGAGAAATAAGTGCATTATATGCTTCTGGAGAATTAAATTCAGATTCAAATCTTAAGGTTTCAAAATGTTAAGAAAAAGCAATTTATATATTTTTCAAAAGCTAGTTCACTTCAAACTATATTTTCAACAATTTCATGATTTAAAAATATGCTCACTCAAAAATGCAAACATTTGCCTTTAAAATCAAAATAATTCAGTGGTTATAGATGGCAAACTTAACAGACATAATGTTAAATGGACATTTTTAGGGGCTTCAAGAAGGAGGTATAAGTTATTGATTATACAAAAATGATTGTACTTTGCTCCTGAAATCCCCAATTCCAGTGAAGAAATAGAAAAGCTACAAACACTAGAACAAAGAGAATGGGAGAGTAGACAATAGCAGATTAAGGTTGTCAAAAACACTGAATATGAAAATAAGATGAGTTATTAAAAGCTAAAGTTTTAGATTATAAAGCTCTTATCTAGAATTTTATATGCAGCACAGTATCGATTGACTATATGAAGAGAATAAAGGTGTTTTTTGGGATACGAGGGCACTAAAATTTTACCTACTTATTCATTTTGAGGAAGATGCTAAAGGGTATGTTTCACCAGCTGTGGGGAGTAAAACATACAATGGGATGTGAGGAATTTCAAGCGGGAGGGTGTACAGTAAAAGTGAGAGGGTAGAGGCAGGGCAGTGGGCAGAGAAATCGCAGGTGGACACCTCACTTGTTCAACATTCCTGAAGCTAAAACCAATCATGCTCAGCTGAGACAAAGGGCAGGGGTCTCCAGAAGGATTGCATCCAAAGAGAAACAGACAAATTACATGATGTGTGTAGTTTTTCTGGAATTTTATGGAAGCACTTAGGGATACATTAATTTTAGTATGTAGAAATCTAAGGATGAGGAGAGAGAGAGAGGCACAAAGAGACAAGTTATTAACTTCAATTAAAACAAGAAGTCATACAAGAAAGTAAATAAATTAATATGATGATTCACCTTCAAATAACATTTGTACAACCAAGAGGCTGTAAACACTTAATGCTAATTTATCCAAAAGGCGTTATATTACTGTATTGGGCAGCTAGGAGAGGGGAGCATATGGAATGGAAAAAGGGCTCATAACAGGGTGAAATTGCAATTTGCAATAGTTGAAAGTCAATCACAGATGGCTAAAAATGTTAAGAATAATAGAATAAACACTTTACTTAGGAATACCTGGGTAAAAACCAGAAGAAATGATTAGAGTCAAAAGTAAGTGGGTTGCTCAGCAGTTAGTAAGGAATTATTTGGCTTTTTAAAATGTCATGTTTTACTATTATGGTAAAAATATATTACACATTTACTTAATCTATAAATTAAAGTAATTCCATTATGTTGTTAATGTATTGTTAAATACATTCATTTTAAAATAAATTGTTAATTCAATAAAGACTTCAAAGCAGATTTTTATAAAAATTGAATACAAAATGCAGCAAGCATATTTCATTGTCATAGGATATTCAGATGCTTCTGAAATATCTAATCTACTATGTGCTTTAAATGGCTGGAAGTATTTTTGAGACTTCTGTGAAATGAAAATACTTCTGATTGTCTAGCTAAAATTCTCTGTCTATAAGATACCAAAATTTTTCACCTGCAACTTTCCTTTTCTGTTCTGTATCACATAAATGCATTCAGTCTGTTTTCATTAGTGCTTTTGTCTTTGGAGTCAATCATTCTAAATATAAAATATTAAAACATGATGAACTATAGAATCTTTTTGAATTGCTCATCTTCTGTATGTTAGATTTCTAAGGGAAATCTTCCTCTCTCAATAGTAAAGCATTTGTTACCAAGTATTAAAAAGCAGCACAGTCAGTATTATTTGATATATACTAACTGAACACTGAACCGTTTAATAAGAAAGAGAATCAAGTTTGGCCTTTCAATACACTGAAATATTTGTGCTTAGGGCACTGAAATATTTCTAATATAAAAATGTGTAAAAATTTATTTCTGGGTTTACATTATACACAAGAGAGCAGAAAATATATACAAGAGAGATTTTTAAAGACAGAAAGACATTTCTCTTCAAATATGAGATAAGGGTGATCTACAGCATGTAAGTATAACCTTAAGTATAACATGGAATAACCTTCCTGAAGATTAGAGGGTTGAGAATAATACCCCCTTTCACTTGGGAGCCTATGATTTGACTCACACCCACATCATTTAGAGAAATGAACAGACTGAGATAGCCAATGCTAGCAGAGCTACCCATGATCCGAATTTACAAAGAGGCAGGTGAAGTACACAGTTTGACAAGTTAGTTTTTTTAAATAACAATTGACTTATATTCTAGATTATTTGATTCTCTTATTTCAAGCCACTGTCAATGCTTTATCCTCACATAGTTCAAAACGCTTTGCAAGAACTTTCCTATCTATCAGATTAGTTCCACCTCACACAATCATTAGGAGGTTAAATAACAAGCATTACTATTCTCATTCCAATGACAAAAAAGACTCAAAGGAGGTAAATGACTTCTTTGCTCTTTGTTTATCTTTAGGAAAAAAAATGAAAATATGACTCAGGACTCTTGTATTTCCTGTCTAATCTTTGCACTCTCATCCATCACTCCCAACCTGCAGACATCAAACAGTTCAAGGGACTCAGGATAAGGTTAAAATGTCCACATTCTTAACTCCAAATTCAAATCCAGCATTATCTTCAGAAGGAATCAAGAATATATCCTACACATATGTATAACTCTATTTTTCAAATGTGCATTAATGTTGCTCTGATGAATAAAATACACACTTGTGTAAAAGCTTTCTATTGCATTCACAATTGCCTTTTATCTTTATGTATCCTCAAATCAATGGATATTAAAAGTACAACTACTTAGTGAAGGTGGGCACAATTTTTTGGTACTGAAAAAAAATATCCTCTATGAGTCCAGTTGGGGGATATGTCTCTTGGACAGGCCCTCATTGACCAGGCAAACTAAATCAAGCACCCACTCTGCCCACCATTCCCTATCTCAGTCCTTTCTCCTCTTCATTGCATTCACAAGCATTCTATCTATTTCTTGACTTGTTTGAGGATCTGCTCTGCTCCATTCCTCACCTGTCACAAGAGGCTAATGTCTGTCAGGGCATAAGCAGTGCTGCTCTTGTATGCCTCTATGTGCGCCTAGGGCTGGCCTGACATCAATGAGGGGCTTTGTGTAGCTCAGCTGACTTAACGTTAAACCAATGTTTCCACACCCAATCTCCCAGTGGGCTGATGGCTCTACCCTCTTATAGTAGATGATCACAGTGTAAGCAGAAAATCAACCATGGCAATGAAAATAGTGACTGCTAGTGATTTTGGGGTGTTTAGCATGCCATGTTAGTACCTTACTATGTATTATATAATACTTGTACCCCAGCCTGTAAGGAGGGTATTACTCCTTCTTCTTTGCAGATGACACCGCTGATTTTCAGAGAAGTTAGGCACTGTTGTCCTGGACTGATGCACCTCTTAATTATATCTGCATGTTCCTAAAACCAGCCCTAATCCACTGGGTTGTAATGTCCCTGTACCACTCTAAATGCATGATACCTCCTACTAGGTCCCAGTCTCATTAATGAAAAGAAAAAAGGAAAAAAGACAAATGGATTTCACCCAAGGGGTTACCTGCCTTCTCTTACTTATGCACATTTATTTAAGACTCCACCTCTTCTTTAGAATTCAACAGATGTTTCAGCGTTCACTAAAATACCCCATTATTTTTCAGTGAGGAAGAGAAGAGGGTGGAGTCAGAGATGCTCACAAAGGGAAGTTTGTGATGCTGAATCAGACTCAGAGCTGAAGTGCAGGCAAAAGATGCTGCTACCGCCCAGAGCAGAATGAAAGAGCCACTTTGTTAGTACTGGGGGAGAGTGTTAGGGGATGCAGCGTTTAGCTAGAAGAAAGTCAAGCCTCAGGCAGAAATCAGGGCAATTATTGAACAGATCTGGGGGCATCACATTCACTCTGAACACTAGAGATGATGGCCTTCTGCTCAGAAGCAAATGACAGCATTCAAATGTGGATCCTACCCCAATCAAGCCCCCACCCTGCTCGCCCAGTGTACAGAATCAAAGGGAGTTGGACACTCAGCCTAGCTCTGCCTCAGGGTTGACAAATGTGAGATCAGCCCCTCCTCACCACCACCTGGTTCCCTCTGGACCTTCTAATGGTTTGGAGGGCAGAGGAATAATGTAATTTGTCAGGAAAGGGACAAATGCTGCAATAACAATGTCCACCTAAACTGGCAAATGCTTGGTTTAATTGTCTCTACAAGTCAACCTAGCAGGAGTTCAGCAGGGGAAGCTGATGATCCAAAAGAAATTATTTTCTTATCTGTTATTGAAAATTTCAAAGAAAACACATGCCACAGCCCCTCGGGACAAACCAGAGAATGACCAGGACAGGGAAGATGGATGTCTTCCAATGTCTTGGCATATCTAACTTTAAGATATTGAGTATACTATCATAACTTTCTGCCTGAAACGTCTTTATTAGAGGAACAAGATTTATGTTTTTGGTCTAGGGGGCAAAAAAAACCCTCAGATGTCCACAAAGGATCCTCTGTAAGTCACTCAGCCTATCTGATTAGGGGTACATAGTGCAGAATTTTAAAGAGAAAGTTATCTTCTTTTGGGTGGCCACATTTCCCAACCTTGCAATTTACTTTATCCATTCCCTTGAGCTTTCTGGCACATTATGTTACTTTTTTGGTTTCTTTTAGAAGTTCCTGCAGGAAATAGTAACTCTCTGGTTTCCTGATTTTCAAAAATGAATGTTCACATATGTTTAGCATCAGGCTGTTTTGTATCCAACCGTAAATCTGCACACTACAGGAAAAGTGCATGTATTTTAAATAATTCACATACTGCAGTACAAACTTGCATTTCACTGGAGGAAATTAGGCAGATTAGAAATTCATAAATTGGATCGCAATCTCTTTTCTTTGTAAATTTAAAATCATACTAGTTGGCTAAGTGATATTTAGGAGAATACAGTTAATTATTAACTTGAAACTTTTCTGATGGATTTCAGCAGGGGTAACTGGATCTCAGACTAGTCATTGTGTTCCCTCCAACCGGCCCTCTCCTGCCTGTATCCACTGCTACTGTCTTCGTTAAGGACCTTCTCATTTCTTGCCTAACAACTGCCAGAGTCTCCTAAGTGGCCTTCCCTGGCCTCTTGTCATCACTCTCTCCCACCACTTCTCCATAATGCTGTGGAATGTTTTTTTTTTTTTTTCCTAAAACCTAATTCTAGTCATGTCAGTGTCTGCTTTAAATCTGACCTATTTCTTTACAATATAAATGCCCACTTCCTGGTTGGCATAGTGTCCTGCGTGAGCTTCTTCATCTCATCTCTGGTCATTACTCCTCTCTTCCTCAACACTCACATTCAAGTCATGCCAACTGACTTGTAATTCTCCAGAGTGTGCTGCTTTAAGCCTTTTAATGTTCGTACCTGTTTCTCCATCTTCTCCAAACTACCCTTCTCAATCCTCTTCACCACGTTAATATCGCTCCACACAAAATTCCAATCTCATATTAATATTGTATTTTCCATGAAGAATGTGCCCCCTGAACACCTTCTGTGTGGCACAGCTGTGCCAGGGGAGGTTTCCAAGGACCCTGCTTTTCTTTTCTCACACTTGATGGCAATCTCATGTTAGGTCCCCTCCAATCCTAGACTGGAAGCTCCTTGAAGGAACTGACCTTTATCTTGAGGTTGTTTTTCAAGTATTGAGAGCTGTGCCTGACACAGAATCATGGACACTCGATAGATGTTTGTTGGATAAATGAATATATTAAGAATACACTGAGAAGTCACCAGATTTGGTATGATATGAGAAACAGTGTGAAGTCAATTGTCTCCCCCACAAAAAAATTACTGATGCCTGAAAATCTACCATTTACAATTTATTTCATACATGATTTATTGCCTTATTCATGTAAGACAATTAATATGTAAATATTCTTGTGAGAGTTAACACAATGAGTCACCAACTGACCCTGAAGTAGTTTTTGGGTTCCCGCTGTCAACAGAAAGAATGGGAGAGCATACGTTGCAAGAAATAGGTGGTAAGAGAAAGGCCAGGTAGCAAAAGGGTGAGGCTGGCATGGACAGGAACAGTAGAGAAGGATTAAAGCAACTTTGTCAGCTTCCTAATTTTCCCTGGCATGAGTACTTACTTTCCATCTACATACCCAGGATTCTCTCTCGACTTCCTTCACTTCTGCGAATTGAACAAAAGTCAAGAGGGAAATTTTTTATTTCACAGGTACAAAACATATTGGTAAGCAAAGAATGAATCCCATGTGACCCTCTGATAAACTCACCTTCCCTCTTTACCACACTCAGTTCCCCAAACTCATATGCCAAAGCCCTTGCCACATTCCAACCTCCTGATTTACAGCTTTCCTTGATTTGTTGGAGTTATAATTTGCTTTCATAATCCTGAGGCAAACCCTGGTCAGTTTTCTGCAGTGGCCTCTCCTCCTCTGCTTCCAGGATCTCTCATAGCACTGTAAATGCAACGCAAGCAGGATTTTCCTAGCTCTCTGGAGATGCCCACAAGAGTGCTGACCTATATTTCCCTGCTGCCTCCTCAGCCTTGCTTTCTCAAGGCCCACCCATGGTGGGGCCTGGCTGCCAGCAATCTCCTACAGAAGGCCAAACTCCCTTTCAGAATTGCCATTCATCAAGCTCATCATCCAGGCATCATCTAACATCTAATTATTCTGATTATGCCACATTTGTATGGAGGGTCTTATTACCTTTGCACTTTATTGAATATAATACGATTCAGAATAATCAACTGAATTCATCTTCCCAGTGGTGGAAATGAAGGTTTGAAAGCTACACAGACTGCGGAAAGTGTTTTCTGGGACTGTGTTCTACCTCATTTTTGTTCCTTTCCAAATAATAACACTTGTTCATTAAAAACATGTTTCTCTCAACTAGTTGAAACCATTTCCGCGTAGCCTATTTGCAAGTCCCTGCAACAGCCAAGAAAGCAGAAGAACATAAATATTCTATAGCAGCTACCTGGGTCATCTGGCTACACAGCTCCCTACTGCACACCCTGCAAATGTACAGGTGTCAAATTAGCTGCAGAACAGCTCCCTGGTTGTCCTTTTCTATGCAAGAGACAGCCTGCAAATGGGAAGGTTGTGTCTTTACCATCAAAGAAAAGCTGTTCCATAATTTGCACTCAGATCCAAATGCAGAGCCAAATATGTCAGTATCTTATTAAATAGTGGAGGCACATGGGCAACTACCAATTTCTCTTTGATCAGATGTATGTGTTACCCCCAAATATCACACCAGGTTAATTTATTCAATAGCTCAAATGGTTGGTAAGTAAATCTGAAATTAAGGAGAGGTTCTTTTATCAGATATTTGGAATCCCCTTAAATTTCCTGTTGCAGTTTCTGCCCTTTCCTTCCCCTTTTCCCCACCTCCCCCCCACAAAAAATAGGTCTGGTAGAGAGAGAAAGTTACCAAAAAAGAGCAGATAAGAAAAAAGAAGATGGAGGGTCATACTGACGAAGAAATTAAGCAAGGGTCCAAGGGTCTACACTTCCTACAAAGGCCACTCTATGCTGCCAACACCTCCCGGGTGGCTTGCCAGTGTCCCCAGACACAAGCTGAGTAGGCCACTCGGGTGGCTTTCCTGTGAAGCCTGTCAGCAGTGATTTAAATTCTGTTAGGCAATGGGAGGTCTTACCTGAATTTATTGGCAGATGATGGCAAAAGCAGAGTATAAAGAAAATACCTAGCAACGAAGGTCCTTAGACCAAGCTGTTTTTGTATTTAACATGAACACAGAGCTTATTACTGTGTGGCCACAGGGATGTGAACACTTCGTGATGTCAGCTTTCTCTAACCCTTAGTCCACATTCTATTCTAATAAAATATACACGTACATTTAAAGTAAATTCTCCTCTATATGAGGATATTAATGCCTATAACCTTATCCACATGATGTTAATGAGAGGCAGAAACCCATAACCTACTATTTTGAGGTAATTTATTCAGGTTCAGGAAAATGTCTTTGAACTTAAACACATTTTCTTCAAGGAGGTTATACAGTGCAGTGAAGGAGAGAAAATGATCTGGATAATTATGCTGAAAAGATGAAGAAAAGAATTTTGGAGATTATTGTGACCTTTCTTTTACAAGTGGGAAATAAGATAAAATCCAAATCTTCAGTACAATAATATTTACTCATCATATTAAATTCATATAACTGTAAGCCTCTCCCTTGATTATAAATCCATTTGAGCCTGGGCCATCGCAGCCAAGGATTTCTTTCTTTTCTTGTCTTCTGGATACTTTAGCCAGAGCTGTCACAGACTCCTTTAACTCTTAAAGGGATCACCAGAAGCATGCATGTAAAAGAACCAAGTAAATAATTTTCTAAAATTCTAGGCATGCAAAAGTTTCATTTGCCATTAATATTTGTCTCAACATAGTCTACATTTATTGGCACCCTCCTACTTTCTTCTTTTAGTCACAGCTTTCTACTTCAAAGTTCCCAAATACAAGAGGGCAGTGATCCTCAAGTAGCTCAGCAAAAGATATCATTAAAATTGTTAAAAAAAAAACAAAACAAAACCCTACAGCTTCCTATCCCTAACGTGGCTTTCTGAAACCAAATCTCAGAGGAGGGATCAGATGATTCATAGCAAACTCTTGGAGTTGTCCTTAAGAAAACCAACCAAAGAAGCAAACAAAAAAGGCAAGTAGATGAAAATCATTTAATGATTGAGTTGATATTTATTGAGGGTTGTTTATGTGCCACTTTTCTTGTCTCTGGTCACTATTTACACACTATTCATAAGGTCAACTGTCTGGTTTTCGTAAGTTTGATGACTCATTTTTGTAAAGTTTGATTTTTAAAATAGGGTTATTATATGCATCAGAACTCATTCCCAAAACAACTTGATGGTTAGCAACCTTCGTGGATTGCTATAATTTACTCATCCATGATGAGTAAATTAGAAAGTATGGAATAACTAGAGTAGGTTTATTGCTTAAATTCAGAAAGTACAGGCGTTAAATGGCAACCCTAAGAATGATCCTATCATTCTAAACAAAGATCTTTACTTTGAGACCACATTTCAAGTGCCTTGAAAGTCACTTTTTAAAATTGTTGTTTTTTTTTTCACTCTGGCAATAACTGAAAGACAATTATGTCTCCTCTCATCCCCCAATCCCCAACTTCAAAGCTAATCAGATCATATAAAACGTGATGGAAATGGGCATGTTAAGATAAAATTGAAAAAATAAGCAAGGGAAGGGAGTCTTTGGAATACATTTATTTGTGAATGTTCGGAGGGCAGACAAATAGCTGGAGAATGGAAAGTAGAAAGATTTAAGCCCATGTGAGGAAGAACCTTTAAGTGCTTATTTTACAGAATGGGCTGGCTGGTCAGCAGAGACCAAGGAAACATCTGTCAGTATTACTTTAGGGACTAGACTAAGAGTTTGGAAAGAATACAGGCTAAATAAGAATTTTTAGAGTGAGGAAGTGCTTACATCGTGATGTGCACTGTAGCTTCCCTAAAGAACTAGAAAGTTTAGTTTAAGACAGGTTCATTCCTCAGTTCATCCTTGAACAGTATTAGCCTGTAGGAACTGAGTGGAACAGTAGGGAGTATCTTGGGGACAGTGACTAGCATAAAGTCTCAAAGAAAAAAGTGAGGGGAGAAGGGTGCGGGTATGATGGCACTCCTCTGCTGTCATATTAAGTGCGACATGAATTCTCTGGCTAGGAGGTAGAAAGAAAAATAATATGTGAAAGTGAAAAACAGGTATTATTTGATTCAGGTTAAATGGAGACATTCGGACAATTAGGACAGTTAGATCCAGTTCACATAAATATGCTTTTATCAGCATTGCAAAAATATGCTTTCACTTTCAAAACTTCTATGGTATCATTATCAAAATGTCCACATGCCATGTCCAAATCACAGAGCAGCAGAACCAAATACCTGATATAATTAAATAGCTTGTACTTCTTGAAAAAGTCAGAATTTAATAGCGTGTGCAATGTAAAGCTGTTTGAAAGGACCCTACAGCTAGCAGAGTGCCCATCCTGTCACCAGGTAAACACTCAACAAAGATTTACTGAATGCATATATTAGAGCTACTGAATGCTTATGATAGCTCACTTCTGGTCCAGAAATTTAAAGAGTGACAAGTCTGTAGTCTCATTTAATTCTTGGAATAGCCTTATAAGGTAGATTCTATGACAATTCTCTTACTGGGGAGAAAAGGGGGCCAAGGAACATGCCCAAGGTAAGTGTGAGAAGCAAGATTTAAATCCAAGTTTGTTGAACAAAAAACTGGGCTGAATGAACTCCATATGCTTTTCTTGCTCTTACATATATTTTTAATACATTTCAAAATGAGTGCCGTCGGGATCTCTGCAGTATGAAGACTTAGAGCTTCAATGGCACACCGGAAAATGAACTGCACATGGAAATGATTTTGCCAGGTGGAGATTTAATAAATCTTTTCACAGATATTAGCCCCGTAAGTCCTGAATGTGCATTAAGTTTAATCATTTGTTTTAAATATGTCTCCACACGCACAGAGCTCTTTGACCTATATTGTTATTATCATTATTAATAAACTTCTAGTATTTGACATCATGCACTTGTTGCATAGTGATTTTCACATTTAGTGAGTAGGAAAAATCTTCCTGATGACCATTTTGTAATTCTCTTTCAAAATGTTTCCTTGGGATGCTGTTCAGATTGATTAAAAACCAATTTAGGGAAAAAAGGAGGCAAGCATCTTCAGTTCCTAAGCTAATTAGCAATACATAAAATCTCTATAATTGACATAACATTTCATAGTTGTATTTCCTTATGCATAAGATGATTATGTATGAGGCAGAGCCAAGGCAGGAAGGAACGGGGGCAGGCACAAAGGGAATGAGTAGGTGAGTAGGTGAGTGTGCACACATAGGACTGCGTGTATGCTTCTGACATCGTGCCAAGTCCAACTAAAAATGTGGTTGCTGTTGTTTATCATCACCACATCAATTCTTTCTTCTCCTTTGATCTGTTCTCAAACACAATTAAAACAACTATATATGAACACAGATAATACAAAGCAATTGAAATTCATTTTCCTGTGCTTCCTTTCCTGCACCTTTACTCCTGTCCCTCTGAGCATCAGTTAGACTCTTGCTGTATTTTGTTCCAAAGAAAATGACTTACTGATATATTAAGGCAATTAATGGTCTCAAGAAGTGATTAGAAACTTTATGGTGACTCCTTCTTCCATGTGGTGTGATAGTAGGTTAGCGAATGAGCAAAAAGTCATTGGGGAACTGTTTTTAGAATGGGTTGCTTCTTCCAAATTCATCTTAGGGACAATTCCTCCACTTAGGTGAAGGAGCAGTGAGGACCTAACCTCCAGGACTTTAGACTCATATTTTCACAGCCTTAGTCTTGCTATAGTGAATAATTTACATTTCAAAGCAATTGCATTTTTCTTTGAAATATCAGTTTGTGATTATTGTTCTCTTTCAATGTTCAATTCTAAAATTATACAAGTTTCATTAGAAACGCGATGACAAGAGGTTTTTCACTTTGATTCATTGACAATTTTTGTAAACCAGGAGAAGTGTTACATTATCTTTTAAGCAATTTTTAGACTAAATGTGGTTAGGAATTTTAAGAAACAAAATTAAGAAAGAAATGATGAAAACAAAATGTATTACAAGTAATCATGCTGTGATCTAAAATGTATATTTGAATAGGGATGCCATTCTGGGGTTGAGAAGTATAATATTTATAGTAACTTGAGGCCTACTTTTTACTATAATAACATGAATATCATTTACTGAGTAAGCACCAGCTGTCCATGCCTCTCTGACTCCTGACCATCTATTTAAAAACTAGAAAAAGAAAAATAGAAAACATGTTATCAAATACCTCTAGCCATTACATAGAACATGTGAAGCTTTCAGTGGTAATAAAAAAATATCCAACTTTCTTTAGAAAGATGATAAACAATTACAGAGAAGTCCCTGTTCTTCATCACAATCAGGGGCCAATACCAATTTCTCACAGCACATGTGCAGCCCAAAGTCTAGGACGAACTCCATTCCTCCTCCTCTGTTCTGCCCTTCCCCTGCCTCCTGCCCCGACTTCAGAATGTTTTCCTGGTGCTCACTTTCTGTATATCTGCCTTTAGTCTGATTCTGGAAGATCCACCTCATTAGATGAGACACGATGATCTTCAATATTTAAGCATCTCTTATTTTTTCCCATAAAGAGATATTTAGAATTGAAATAATATAAACAAAAATATAGACTTCCTTAGATAAGTCAGTATTCGAACAGCTGAAACACTGATATCAAATTGGTGTTAAATGATGGGTGGAGATGGAGAAAGATTATCCCCAGGTGGTTCTTTTGTTGGTCTCTAAGTATACCACCAAGCTTCCTCAGTTTTGTATCAGGGAAGTTAAGATGATAAGGTAACCCCATAATGTCAACATATATGGAAAAAAGTAATTCTTAATGTTTAAAATAGATAAAAACCCTTAAGAATTCTCTAATAACTGTCATAAAACCTAGCATTTTACTCCATTTGCCTTTTTGCCCATGGGTTCTTTATGATAATATGAAATTTACTTTCTGTTAAACCATTTTACCTGTGAACATAAAGAAATCATAATTGATCTTCTGGCTTTTTGAGAAAAGGTGAACACTGAAAAGAGATTGTGTTCCCTCCAACTTCAGAGAGGATATGCTATGGCTCTCAGCAGTCAAATGCAGCTGGCTGCCAGCAAAGGATTTCTGGTGAATGCTATTTATGCCTACTCAATTAAAGTAAACATATATTTATTGAGTGCTACTGTACATAAACCAGAAATGCTGCAGTAATATAGTAATGCAGTCACCACCCCACTACCCCCAAACACTCAAACTTTTCTTCTGTCAGAGCTCTGGGCCCAAGGAATCCATTTATAGACTGATGCTTTTCTGGTCCATGTTGAACATTTATAAAATAGCAACTACTCTTAAACCTGTACTGGATATACTAGATAATATTCAATACCCCAAACAAAGGATCATTGGCCTCTAGAACTTAACTCCTAAAATGTAAGCTCGGAATAGCTCAGATGTTCTTACAGAAATAGACAGGATGGATATTTTTTACAATGGCTTTTTATGTTTAAAAATATCTTATAACACAATACTTCCACAATTTTGATGGTCTGTCTTTTTATTACAAAGAAATGACATTATCAACATTTCCTCTTGAGATGTCTTAAGTATGAATACCTATAATCAGATGCGAAAACAAAGCATCCATAAGCAATTAGTATGTGTTAATTTATTCTACACTTACTGTGTGTTTGAAAAACGATGGATCAGGTTAAACGTTTTATTGGAAAATATTATCCACCTATTCCCTCCAAAATATGATGAAAGCTCATTGAACAAGTACCAAGACAGTAACTTTAGGTTCTAATTCTTGTTATTTTTTGTTGTTACATTCATGTCTAATATAAAATCCAGGAAGGTTTAGTCTACTGTGTAAGCAATTTCATTGAGAATGCTAGACATATTTGTGTCAATGGGGACACATAATAAAATAATCAATATTTTCATAAGTCTAGAGATTTAACAAATCTAATTTGTTCTAGTTATTAGCCCTTACACTCTTTTATTTTTAAAAGGGAATTGATAAATATGTCCCAATAAAACCTTATGCAACTATGTTTTATTGATGCATATGCTAAAATATATAAAATATTTTTTAGAGTTCTAAATTGGCCTAAACTCATTAGTCCATTTGTTTTCCTTCTTTTAAATGGAATTGCCTTTTAGATTTTACAACAATGACCTATAAGAGTAAACAATTTCAACGAAAAACTGGTTTCAATAAAAAGGTAGAAAACATTATCTTATCTTTCACAGGGGGCATCTGTGGCTGAATACACCATCACTGTGGGTGACATGGAAAAGATACATGAGACTCAAAGAAGGACTAGAAAAGGGAAATATAAATAATCCAGGTTACATTTTAAAAGAGGCATAACTTTATAATGAAGAAAAGTTTCCACTAAATAAGGACAAAAGCTGCTTTGATCAAATTCTATAAAATCATGGGATTAGCACTTAAGATTATGAAGCCTAAAACCAAGGCCTTCCTGGCATTTAATTCCAGATCTGCTACCTATTAGAATTTAAAATTTGGGACCTGTTCTCTAAGAATCCTATCTTCAATCTCTAGAATGTTCTTGTTCAGCTTTTTCACTCCATCTGGGCAAATAGGACCAAGACTTCTCCCCTTCTCCATTATTAGACATGTATTTTCAACCTAAAATCCCCTCTCCAGTCATTTCTATCCAAACAAATTATACTGGATCCTCAAAATTTTACATCAGAATCACTTCCATGTGATCTTTTTGGAACAGATTTTTATGACTCTAGTTCCTCTAAAAGTTTCTTTACTATAGAATAGCTGTAGTATAACTGTAGTTTATTCTTCATAAAGGTTGGCCATGCAGACAGACAGCATAAGAGAGAACAGGGGAGACCCCAATAAGCCCACTGTTCTCTGGCCTACATTGCCACCCTTCATTTCTAGGATACATCTATTTTTCAACAAAATTGGAAAAGTAAAAATAAATTATATCCAACATATTTATCGAACATCTATTTGAATGCTTGTTGTTCTTTCAGGTACTATGGTAGATTTTTTTTTTTTCAAAGATTTGTTTTGGTTTCTGCTCTTAAGGAGATATCTATTATTTGATATTTCATTCAAAACAAGAATCAGAATGTTAAAACCAAGATTGCTTCATACTCCTACTATACACTCTCTTTTACACACACACACACACACACACACTGCTAATTGTTAACACAATAGTTCTCATCAGATTATGAAATATAATCATGTTTGACAAACACACGTTTATGAATAATTTACTATAACTATTTCAGGCCCTCAAAGTAACACTCTTCTTACTGTGTTTTTGAGAGCACTCAGTCTGCTAATTATGTTGCATGGAAAAGTCCCCATCATATCTCCTATTATGGATTTTATGGTTCATTTTACTGACATATTTTTTCCTCTTTATTATCGAAGACTTAGCTGCTTTTCTTTCTCTAATACTTTACTACTAAGACAGGAAATCAAGTTGATAATGTCCTATGGATCATAACAACTTCATTTATTTGCACTAGCAAAAGATCTGTGGTAACAGCAAGGGCCAACAGAGCACATGTCAGATGTGCTGACTGGTCCCAAGACAGCAGGCAACATGAAACAAAAAAGAGAAGTTCAAGACCTCACTGACGACAACAAGCTGCAGCAACAGCTTCCCAGCTGAGTGACACCAAGCCCATAATGGAAACGTTACTCGTTTAGGTAGGCACACATGAAATATTAATTTCCTGGATTGTCTGCATTTGCATAGTAATATTAAGTTCATCTTCTTGGCATGTTATGGTCTCAATTAGCAATTCTATTGTCATACCTGAGATTTGGGGAAGGAAGGAAAAGAGTAGGCTGTAGACAATTTCCCTCTGGAAACAGCAACACTAATGGAGCTTATCACTCCCATCATTAATTTAATCAAAAACCTTAAGGCAGAGGGCTAAAGCAATCTGTTAAGAAAACATTTTCTAAAATGAGAATGCTTCCCATTTCAATTAGGGTCTTGCTCTTTTTTTCTCTTTGAGACATGTTTTTTTCTCTCTATGCTCTCTTCCCCACCTCCCATACCCGCCACTGATTAGATTTGCAACCGGGGGCTGTATTTTTTTCCAAAGAATGTTTTCTTGCAAACTGACAATTCTGCAACAACATCCGTCGCCTCAACCTTCTTAACTGACTTGTTTTTTAAGACATCTCAATTAGTTCAGACCCACTGTGCAAAGATAAAGTCCTTGTATCTCAGTGAGAGAATGCTCTACAGAGAATGGAGTTTGCTTTACGGTGTGCATGTTAATACGCTATTCTCTTTAATTAGTTTGGCAAATATGGCTGCCAGTGGATAATTCTGCTGCATTTATATGCGTATTTGCACACACATGTGTGGTTATATGTGTTTCCTCTTCCAGATGCAGAAAAAAACCAAACAAACCAAAACATGAATACTATGAGGAAGGTCGCTGGGATTAGGCATAGCACATATAATACAAAAATATTAATAGCAGTCTACAATTTCAGAATTTTAAATTTGTTGATTTTTGAAAGCTCAGGAACAGCATTATTATTAAATATACATAAAGTGGTGATGGTCTCTGCTCAACAATGAGACGTTTTCCCACTACCCCAGGGAATACCTTTATTAATGCAGACAAATCCCTTGACAAGCCCCATTGCAACCATAACACTTACTATATGAGAGGATTGTATCTTTTGCTAGAGAGAATTTCCTGAGCCTAAAAATCATGTGAGTAGACTGACAGGAATTTCTCTCTGGGAATTGGAGGACATAAAACTGTATTTTGGACCTCTGTGGCATTAAAGACAACAGTGCTTTGGCCATGCTGCCCAGAAAGCACAGGGATTATCCACCTGTGTTCCCTGGCAGCTGAGCCCACTGGCTGTTTCTGTATGGCAGGAGAAAGTAAGTTGCCTGCTCTCAGCTCACCTTTCTCAATGCAGTTATACTTTAAAAATGTAAGTAACGCCATGGAATTACGAGGTCATGGAATTGTATGTGAGGGATTCTATCCATGGATCACTACAAGATCTGAAAAAGCTGTCACAATAAAATACATTCAAAAAGACAGAAAAAGTTCCCATGGTATTCTTTACCATTCCAAATAAATACATTTTGAGATTTTCGTCTTTCAGTATTTAGAATGTTTGGAAATTGGGGAGATAAATCACACAGAAGACATTTAAAGAAGACTTAGAAGAAATGTCTTTTAAAATGAAGAGTACATTTCCAGAGGCATAAGTCATCTAAGGCTTTTTCTGTAAAAGGTGCAGACTCTATCTGTGCCCATTCCTGCACACATGACAGAAAAGTTCATGTACATGTCAGCATTTCTATTGGTGTGATTAAGAGCCAGGCTATAGTAACACTGGGGTAAACGTTCTCGAACATCTTTTTAATCTTCTAAAGTTAAGGATACACACAAAAGGGAAACAAACATTTTAGTATAGTGATTATTGTTTCTAAAATGAATAGAAATATGCTTATGGCCCAATCTAGATGGTCTTAAGGTGGAAAACTATATAACAAAATTGATCAGTTTCCACAAACTAAATTAAATATTATTAAACTCTAAATAAAAAGGTCAGCATTAATTCACATGTAAAAATGTGTCACCTTTTAAATGGGGGAAATTATAAAGGGTTCTATTTTTTCTCACTGATTCATGGAATTTTTAGTAAATCATATTGAATGTTGAAGACCCTGATGAGTGACTTCTGAAGGTACTAAGATAACATGAAAATAAAAAAATAAACCGGAATAACCTTTGACATCCCTCCCTACCCCCACCCCTCATTCCAAGTGTATGTGTGTGTGTACACACGGAAGCCAAAATTGAAATACCAAAATTACCATATATACGTGTCTGTGTATATATACACAGTGTATGAAGAGTAGGAAATACCGATTTCTCACATATTTCGGGTACTGGCTGACGGCTTCATATATATTGAAGTGCTCAATTCTCTCAGCAACATTGTAAGTACGGTTAAGTTTTTACAAATGATATTTTTCTATGTAACAGGGCTTCAGAATTTTTTTTTTCTTTTCTTTTTTTTTTTTTTTTTTTTTGAGACAGCTTCTTGCTCTGTGGCCCTGGCTGGAGTGCAGTGGCGCAATCTCGGCTCACTGCAAGCTCCACCTCCCGGGTTCATGCCATTCTCCTGCCTCAGCCTCCCGAGTAGCTGGGACTACAGGTGCCCCCCACCACGCCCAGCTAATTTTTTTGTATTTTTTAGTAGAGACCAGGTTTCACTGTGTTAGCCAGGATGGTCTGGATCTCCTGACCTCGTGATCCGCCCTCCTTGGCCTCCCAAAGTGCTGGGATTACAGGAGTGAGCCACCGCACCCGCCCCAGATTTTTTATAGATGAGGAAACTGAGGCACAGGGAAGTCTAGAAACAGGAGGTGCTCCTAACTTAAATTCAAACCCAGACACTTTTACCCACCAAACTATTCTGTCTCTACCGGAAGGGAAAGGACCGGACTAGGCTTCAGGAAATTTGAGTCGGCTGTATTCTTGATCATTTTAAGTCTCTGGACTTACATTTTTTTTCATTTCAAAAATGTCTAAAGTTGAAATTAGGCATTTCAATGTTACTTGTCACTTTTCCACTCCAATCTGCAAAATGTTTCAAATTGTAAATTGCCTTTCCCCTCTAGAAGGTCAGTATTGAAAAGGCGTTTGAGATCACCAAATACAGGATCCCTTCCTACCATAGGAAATCTATTCTATATTATCTCAGATTTACAGTGATTTTCTACACAAATTCTTCTAATGAAGGAGACAGCCCATAGGCCATAAGACATTGTTAAAAGTATAATTGTTAGAAATATCTTATTTTTGTTAACTTTATGTCATTTTATTTTTTGAGACGGAGTCTCGCTTTGTCACCCAGGCTGGAGTGCAGTGGCGCGATCTCGGCTCACTGCAAGCTCCGCCTCCCGGGCTCCCGCCATTCTCCTGCTTCAGCGTCGCGAGTAACTGGGACTACAGGCGCTCGCCACCACGCCCAGCTAATTTTTTTGTATTTTCAGTAGAGACAGGGTTTCACTGTGTTAGCCAGGATGGTCTGGATCTCCTGACCTCGTGATCCGCCCAAAGTGTTGGGATTACAGGCGTGAGCCACCGCGCCCGGCCTTGTTAACTTTATTTACTCAGAAAGTCTAAATAATTGACTCACTTGTTTTTTTATATTCATTACTTTATATACCTTTCTGAAAACATAAAGCGTATAATTTGAATACCCAAAGAAATTGATTAAAAATGATTTCTTAGTAGTTATTTAAATACATATATTTCAACTTTAAAAATTAAAGTTTGATCTAGAGATCTTTTAGTCAACATTATATTGTGCACATTTATTCATACCATTAAGTACTGTTAAATGTAATTTTAATAATTTCTTCAGCTTCATGTTTTAAATTTTTATTATAACTTCAAAGAGTTTTTTAATAATTCAGATATTCCTAATCATAACTAGCAGCACTTCCTTTTACATTTTTTCATTCGGTATCATCCATACCACCTCCAAAAGAAGTTAGAAATAGGCATACTTGATTTTATTGCACTTTTCTTTATTGTATTTGCAGATATTGCATTTCTTACAAATTGAAGGTTTCTGGCAACCCTGTGTCGGACAAGTTTATCTGTGCCATTTTTCCAATAGCATGTGCTCACTTCATATCTCTATGTCACATTTTGTTAATTCTTGCCGTATTTCAAAGTTTTCATTATAATTAAATCTGCCATGGTGATCTTTGATCAGTGATCTTTGAGGTTACTATTGTAATTGTTTTGATGTGCCATGAACCACACTCATATAAGACAGTAAAATCAATCAACCAATGTTATGTGTTTTCTGATTGCTTCAGCAATGAGCCATTCTCTCATCTCTCTCTCTCTTCAGGCCTTCCTATTCCCTAAGACACAACAATTTTGAAATTAAGCCAATTAATAACCCTATAATGACCTCTAAGTGTTCAAGTGAAAGGAAGATTTGCACATCTCTTACTTGAAATCAAAAGCTAGAAATAATTAAGCTAGGTGAGAAAGGCATGCCAAAATTCAAGAGAGGCTGAAAGCTAGGCCTCTTGTGCCAAACAGTTAACTGAGTTGTGAATGCAAAAGAAAACTTCATGAAGCCAATTAAAAGTGCTACTCCAGTGAACACACGAATGAAAAGAAAGTGAAACAGCCTCATTGTTGATACACAGAACGTTTTAGTGGTCTGGATAGAAGATCAAACCAGTCATAACATTCTCTTAAGCAAAAGCCTAATCTAAAATAAGACCCTAACTCTCTCCAATTGTTGGAATGCTGAGAGAACTGAGGAAGCTAAGAACTTAGAAACTAGCAGACATTCGTTCATGAGGTTCACGGAAAGAAGTCATCTTCATAACTTAAAAGTGCAAGGTGAAACAGCAAGTGCTGATGTAGAAACTGTAGCAAGTTATCCAGAAGATCTAGCTAAGATTATTGATGAAGGTAGCAACACTAAACAACAGATTTTTAATGTAGACAAAACCGCCATATATTGGAAGAAGATGCCATGTAGGACTTTCATAGCTAGAGAGGAGAAGTGATCCTTATGAATGACTTTGAGGGGGTTCAAGACTTCAGTGGAGGAAGCAATTGCAGATGTGGTGGAACTAGCAAGAGAATTAGAATTAAAAGTGGAACATGAAGATGTGACTGAATTGCTGCAATCTCATGGTCAAACTTGAATGGATGAGGAGTTGCTTCTTATGGATGAGCAAGGAAAGTAGTTTCCAGTGGAATCTATTCCTGGTCAAGATGCTGTGAATATTGTTGAAATGACAACAAAGGATTTAGAATATGATATAAACTTAGTTGCTAAAGCAGCAGCAGAGTATGAGAGGATTGACTCCAATTTTGAAAGAAGTTCTACTATGGGTAAAATACTATGAAACTGCATTGTATGCTATAGAGATATCGCCCATGAAAAGAAGAGTCAGTTGTTGCGGCAAACTTCACTGTTCTCTTATTTTTAAGAAATTGCCACAGTCAACCCAGTCTTCAACAACCTCCATCCTGATTAGTCAGTAGCCATCAACATCAAGGCAAGACCCTCAACAAGCAAAAATATGATAACTTGCTAAAGAACATCTTTCTAGCAATAAAGTTTTTTTAAAAAATTAAGGTATGTACATTGTTTTTCGGATAGAATGCTACTGCACACATAATAGACTCAGGATAGTGTAAACATTACTTTTATATGCACTGGGAAACCAAAAAATTCACGTGACTCACTTGATTGTAATATCTGCTTTATTGTGGTGGTCTGGAACCAAACCCACAATATCTTTGAGGTATGTTCGTATTTGCTTCTATTTTCTTCTGCAGTTTTTATGGTTTCTTTATATTTTCCCACATCTGTCTCTTTAATCCATCTGTTATTTATTCTTATGTGTGGTTTGAAGAACTATAAATTTTCTGAAAACTCACAAATGATATTTTTCTATATAATAGGCCTTCAGCTATTTGAAATTTGTATTCATGACTACCATTTCTCTTCCATCCAAATCGCTAGATTTTCTACTCTATGTTAACTATGATCAATTCCTTTAAAGGGCTTAGGGTTTTGTTTTTTTTTTTTCCAGAGTTTTCAGTCTCCTCTGTATATTCTCAAGCTTGCTAATTTTATCCAGGAGTGTGATGTTCATAACTGGACATAATTTTTAAAATGTGCAATCAGTGTCCATGCATCCTAGGGCAGAAAATTGTAATTCTATACATGTAACTATTACGAGATTAAATTGGGTTGTTGGCCACCACATCGTAATCTTGGCACATATTCAACTTGTACTTAACTAAAACCTCCCAGATCTTTTTCACATGAACTGCTACTGTCAAGCCCTATTTTCTGAAAATGCTGCCAATTAATCTGCAAGCCTTTCATCTACATAGCAGTATATATGCATTTGATACACATTTTGCCTTCAAATGGTGATTGCGTTTCTTATTTAAATAAGATTATGCAATTATCCAGAAACATGGAAAGGGGCTCAATGAATGCCTTTGATAGGAGTGATAATGTGGAGTGTACAGATGCTGGAGTCCCTGTTCAGTAATCCTTTCCCATAAACAGTTAGTTTCACTGCTGCACAGGACATGTGATGGCCATATAGTGAGCAATGCCTTCATTTAAAACACATACCTATGGAATGACAATAGGGATTTCACAGAATCCCTTTAAGAATACCAAGAAACAAACTTAAAACTCCCCAGAATTAAAAAGGAGTTTCAGGCACCAAAAGAACTGAGCAGACTACTTTTTTGCAAAGTCCTTTGTGATCTTCTTAAGCCCATCTATTCAGAGTAAAGGTCAAGTGGGCAAACCCAGCAATTCTATTTTCCCACAAAGCTGCTACAGTTTTCTATCTCCTGACAGCCCCGTCACTAGGAGTCTATTATCTACCATTCTGTTTCCAGCACCACCCAGATCCTTAACTGGAAACCCACTAAACAGCTCCTTTCTTTCATGGGCTGACTTTCAGCTTCTTGTAAGGCTTCATGTTGTACATCTAAAAGCTTTCTGCTCTTGCTCTGTTTGTTTAAGGAGGGCAACTTGAGAAAGCAGAACCCACCATAAACAAGGCTTTCACTACTCAGTAGACCAAATGCAGGCAAATTTGCTAATCAAGGCCTCTTCTAGTTCATTAGGTAGCACTTTAAAACTAGCGTTTAGATGACATGTCTGAAACTGTCTTTAAAAACTATCTTAAGGATTTGATTTTTACTTGCTGGAGCATTTCAGATCTTCCCTTTAAATAATACTTAGTGATTCTTAAAAAAAAAAAAAAAAACAAACAAAAAAAACAAGCCAACAAATTGGAATTTTACCATCCAATCATACAGACCACAGATTGTGTCTGTACTATATTAAGTACACTTTTTCTTGCCCCAATAGCTGTTTACAGTGGTAGTTGTTTTCTTGCTCAGAACTTGATCCAGATCAAGAAATTAACTATAAGAAAATAAAATCTAGTTGTTTTAAGTTGACAGCTATTTGGCAATCAAAAACTCAAATCCTCCCACTTTCAAAGTTAAATGGAGAAAAAAAAGAAGAAAAAAAATTATTCTTCCTGGCAGGCTGTAAGCTTTCCATTTCGAGGTGTTTGTATACTGACACGAATCAGATCGGGGCCAAAGAAGCCTCATTCACAACAGTGGAGTCAACACATCCAATTTAAGCTCAAGTTAGCAATTTTCTTACATTTCTAACATATATTCTTGTCATTCCTGACTGGCAGTTATTGACACATAAGCACATATTGAAATACACACATATCCTTAACCAGGAAGAGAAAACAAGTAGGGGTAGCATTGAAAAACTCAGAGCAAATGAGCTATCAAGCCTTGTAAAGACATGGAGGAAACTTACATGCATACCACTAAGTGAAAGAAGCCAATCTGAAAAGGCTACATACTGTATGATTCCAATTATATGTCATTCTAGAAAAGGCCAAACTATGGAGACAGTAAAAAGATTAGTGGTTGCTGGGGGTTAGTGGGGAGGGAGAGATGAACTGGTAGAAGACAGAGGATATTTAGGGCAAGGAAAATACTTTGTATGATACTATAATGATGGATACATGTTGTTATACATTGGCCAAAACCCACAGAATGTACAACAGTAAGAGTGAACCCTAATGTAAACTGTGGACTCTGGTCGATAATGATGTGTCAATGTAGGTTCATCAACTGTAAGAAATGTACCACTCTGGTACAGGATGTTAATAATGAGGGAGGCTATGCATATGTGGGAGGGAGTGCCATCTGTGGGATAGCTCTGTACCTCTCTCTCAAATTTGCTGTGAACTTCAAAAAGTCTTTAAAATAATTTTCAGTCGGAAGGTTAACATGTATTCAAACATTAATTTGTGGAATAGGATGAGGATGATTATTTATTTAAGTGTCATGATTAAATGTACCCAAAATCAATGATAAAAATGCCTGGTTTACCTTCAATTACCTATTAGAAAAGAAATGCACTTCAAAATACACACCACAAAACACAAATGGTGGAATCTTCGACCATTTGTTTTCCTTTTAATCTTTGTCACATGACATTGTCTCACCACAGTTCTAGTGTTCTCTTCCTAATATTTATGGTTCAAAGTCAATGAAGTAAGCTGTTTGAATTATTAAGTACCAATTATCTTCAAATAAAATATATTCACAAAGCCATTCCTCTTGCATGTTACTTCATGACCTGTTTTTCTCTGTAGGGTCTCACCCTTGGAAGGTGCAGTGGAAATGAAAATTACATTGAAAGCAGCTTTCCTTTTATCATGATGATAGACCCAAGACTATATGCAGCCTAAGAACGTGAAAGAACCCATGAATGGTGGTGAGCTCCACAGCTTACAGAAGTCCTAGTGGTGTTTAGCAGGATGTTTTCCTAAATCTTGAACATGGCTTTGAGGAATTCACAGTCTGACCTCCACTCACTTCTTCAAGCTCATCTTTACATCCCACCTCCTTAGCCACTCACACATCATTCTTCATCCAGATTTATACACTTGTGGACCCTAAAAGTACCATTTTCTCTCTAGCCCCTATGTCTTTTTACTCAAGTAAACCTGAGTTTAAAATGTCTTCACCCTCTCATACCCCATGCACTTCCAACTGCCTTTAGGTAACTCCCATGCGACCTTCAGCTCTCAGCTCGAATCTCAGTGCTACCATCTTTTAATTTAGGTTCCCTTCCTGTGCAGTTTCCTAGCACCCCTTATGCTCACCCCCATACCACTCTATAGTGATGGTAGAAAGCAGAGTTCAAAAATGTGTCCAAGTACCACAGGTATCAGAATCATCTCGAAAGCCTGTTAAAACTCAGATTTCTAGGTTCCATCTTGGTCTTACTGAATTGAAATCTCTGGTAATGGGGCTGAGAGATGTGTACTTTAAATAATTTTCCCAGCTAATACCTATGTATTCTAACTTCAGAAACACTAGAGTGGGAAATATATTCTTAGGAAGGATAAAAACACAGATTGAGGCTACTTTTCCTTTCTTAAAATATCAATAAAATAAGGGGTAAAGACTAAAAAAAAATGTTTTAAAAGTGGACTATAGACTTTACATGGGAGTAGAACCGTCGACATGTCTGAAGGTCACAACTCTCTAGGTGGTTTTCCTTTTCTAGTCTAAAAAATGAAATCATGTCCTACACATGTCATTCCATTCCTCCCTACAGGAAATAGAGTAATGGCTCTGCTAAAAAAGACCAGAGTTAAAGTGTGTGTGTGTATTCAAGAGAAGTACCTTTAGAAGAGACATTTTAATTAACCCCAATTTAATAGACAATGCTGAAACACAGGGGACTTAAGACATTCCTGACCTATAGCTTTTCAGTGATAATGATGATGATAAATGAGGCTACATTCTCCAGTCTAGAAATACTTGCCACAGGCATGATTTCTGAACAAATTGCTTCCCTCATTTGTCACTGCCCCGTATCAAGTAATAATGATCTCAAGCACAAGAACAGAAAGCCTAGGGAAACAAATGTAAGAGATGTAAAAGGAAATGAATAGAAGTGAGGTTATGACGCTTTGGAGACATTTTTTAAAAAGTTAAATTCCAATGAAGATAGTTTAGAAATTGGAATGACCCTCAAGTTTGGTTCTCCAATCAGTATTTGTGTTTCCTGAACAATCTTGGTGTTGATTCTTAGATTTTAATTAGCAATGGTGCTACGGTAAAAGGATCCTCAGCAATTTCTCACAGACTCCGGGCCATTTGCTCTCATTATAAAAGTCTACTTTCATCGTTCCTGCAGTATCATTGATCTTAACACAGTTGCTAAGGCCAACACTCATGTCATTATTTTTGATGTAACATGAAGAATAAAAATAAGTTCCTCTGTAAAAACCTAAGACATATTTTATTTTTTAAATGTCTGATGGCCTGTCAGAAAAAGAGGGATAATCATACAGTTTTCCAAATGCTAAACTATTTCTTTATGTGAGTCAAAAACATTGATTTTGGCGTTTTGCCTACACCAAGAAAACCAGTGCTTTGAAGGCAATGAGCAAGTGACAATTTACACAGAGCCTGTTATAATCCCTCACCCCCTACCTTCCTGGAAAAGCAGAATTCACAGTGGTTGGTCAGAACCCTGTTTGGGGCTGGAATAGGCCAAAACCACTCAGAAGTTTCTAGAGCCAATTAAATACCCCTGATTTACTGATTTAATAAAGAAACTCTGTCTTCTGACCTCAAAGGGTCAATAAGAACAAACATCAATAAAAGGGAAATGTTTTCATTGAAAACATGGGGAGATCAAGCACAAGGCTTCTAACATTGTGTGATGCACTAATTTATCAGCAAAATGCTCATAGTGGGTAGCAACTCATCAAGGAAAAGAGCAATCTGCTCCACAGCCTTCACACTATGCTACTTACATTTTCACAGAAACAAGTTAGAATCTAAACTACTGAATACACTGAGACTCTTGGGTACCCTTAGCTACTTTCAAAGAAACAATTGTTCTTTCTTTTATGTCAGTTACGTCAACCACAAATCTTAAAAAACTTTAAAAGTAGAATCTTCTGCTGAGAACTGATTACACTAATAGACTCCAGTGTGTTCACCTCCTTTCTGCCACACTGACAGGTACTGGGTGGACAGTTGAGGATTGATGCATTCTAGTCTAAGAGATTTGTGTTTATACTTAGTCAAAGAAATACCTCATCAAAGATTTGATAGTTTAAGTAATGTAAAATGATGCAAATAATTTAAAATGATTTCTTTAAAGTGATGAGATATGCTTATTATTTTAAAATGCAGGTATCAATTCCATAAAAATAAAAAATCACAGAGCAAGAATCAAATGGTAATATCCTAGAATAATCCTTCTTTTTGGGTTTTGGGATTTTGTATGATTATTATATATCTCCTTATTTTCATTTTGGAGCATTTATTTTTTCCAAAACTGTTATGAATATTTTCAAACATACAGCAAAGTTGAAGAAATTTTGCAGTGAATATCTGTATATCTACCACTTCAATTTATTAGTAACTTACTTTACTAGTTTCATCATACTTCTATATATTTATCCACTCCTCTATCAATTTTATCTTTTTGATGCATTTCAATGTAAATTACAAACCCAAGAACCGTCCCAGTAAATATTTAAACATGTATATCATTAACCAGAGTTCAATATTTGTTTAGATTTTTTTCATGCAATATTTACACAAAATAGAATTCACAAATATTAAGTTTACATTCACTGAGTTTTGACAAATGCATCCAAACTCATCTCAGTTAAAATCCAAACCTTCTACCAAGTATGATCTGGCTCCAGCCTGTTTCTCTACTCACGATGCCAGCCCAGCATGCCTACCCAGCTCACTCATCTTCAGCCTTCTCTCTTTTTCTCACACAGCTGAGCTCTTGATGCCTTCACAGCCTGTGCACAAGTTAATCCTTCCTTTTGTCCCTCCTCATCTTCGATCATCACTTTTAAATATCACTTCCTTAAAAATGCCTTCCCTGCCTGCCCATATAGATTATGTCTTCCCAGTTATGCTCTATAATTATTATCAAAATGTGAATTATACATGTTTATGTTTTCTTTGTTTAATGTCTGTGTGCTTTGTTAGTTTACATGTTCCATGATTGTAGGGACTATATATTTCTAATCCACTAGTTCATCTAACACAGGGAAACAGGATGCAGATAGCAGTTGACTGAATGAATTATAGCCCTCTTTGATCTCTTCTTTCTTGGACATTACTTGTTCATTCTACAATAATGCATCACATTATCTCATAATCAATTTATAAATTTATCTTTTATCTCTTCCTCTTCACAGTAAGGTCTGAGATCCAATGCTTATTCATTCATTCATACATGTTTACTAAGCACCTACTCTGTACCCGACAATGAAACAGATACATATAATACAGTCTGAAAAGTGTTCTGGAAACGCAAGAAGGGGCACCTTACTTGAATCGGAGGGAAAGGAAAAGACGGACTTGCCATTGAAGGTGGCCTCCAAGCTGAGGCTTGGAATAGATCTTAGCTTTATATACTTCCTTTACACACTAAATTCAGACCACCTTCTCTCTCATGTGTGAACTCCCTTTCACTTTTATTGACATGGACTGTGGAGCACTTTTCCCTACATGGAGAAAGAGAGCTAGTAATAATAAGGTGTCAGAGTGACTCTCGCTTGGTTTCTGGCAAGTAAAATCTAGGAAAAGTTCAAAGCCATGACTATATTATCTTTCTCCGCATTGGTCTCCTTCTTGAATATCCCACAGTGACTATGAAGTTTCAGCTCAAAGAACTTATTATTTTTCTACTCTGTACACTGGAGTCTAGCTCCAGAATATGAAAGCACAGCAGTGCAAGGGCCACAGAGGCACTGCAGTTTGTCAAAGCCCATTCCCTACCAATATTTGTTAACTTCTCTCAGAGTACAGCAACACATCACAGAAGAGTTTTGCTCTTGCAGAAAAACGTACAACAGGAAATGGATAGTTGAATACATTTTGCATGTCCCACACTTTCATTTGCTCCCTTAAATATATTCATTCATTAAATGAATACAGTGCCATGGTTGCTTGTACTGACTGGTTGGGAATCACAAATTCCAGAGATAGAGTACAAGGAAGCAGACAAACAAAAGGTTTTGAAATGTTGCATGATTACTAAGTGGCCCTCCCAATTCTGATATCCCTTTCAAGTAAGGTGTCACTTCTCAGTGCAAAACCCAGTGTGAATGAATGAATCAAGTTGGACAGGGAGGTTGATGTTCAGTTTTTCATAATGGTACACAGAAAAATCAAAATGTTGTCATTTAATTATGTTTATGTTAGTGACATTATTAAATAGCCACCTCTTTTTTACCACAGCTAGGTTCACCGTCTTCAATTAGAAAGTTAGAGTGCCTGTCTCTCAGATGTTTAGTCTTCTGTCATAACTCTTATTTTAAAAACATGAATTACTAACAGGGAAAAATTTGAGCATGACACAAATTTCCCATCTAATTATGCATTACTTTACTTGTGAGGAACAATGTGTGACTATAGAAAACTGCATCCAATGAACCAAGCTACATAGCAATATACAAAATACATACACATAACCCTTCAAACATCTAACAGGTATCTCAGTTTGCCATGTGTGTTAGGGACCATACCCATCCACATCTGGTGTTACAATTTTCTGTCTGATTTCAGATAACCCTCCTTCCACCTCTTCACAGTAACTCCCAAGCTGCAACTCTTCCAACATCCTCTTCCATAAGCAAACTTAGGTCTCTTTCAAGGTGAAGTCCATATTTATTGTAGCGTTTATATTTCTTAACCATTTGCATGTGTAGAAATATTCCATCAGTTTTATTAGGCTTCTATATTTGTGTGTATTTAATTCAAATTTTGCATGTTATGCTCCAATCCTATTTCCCCCACAAACTCTTGTGATTTTTATTTCCAATTTTGCATAGTGAGATAAATTTAAGGAACATTTATGTCATGTATAGCAGAACTGATTGGACAATTTCCTGTTGTTATTTATGTGATTTTTATGAAGCTTTTCTCCACAATTTAAAAGTGTCCTATAATAGAGATGCAAATTTATATTAAAATAATTTTTATTCCAATAATATCCACAGATTACCCATTTTCAGAGTTGGTAATAACTGGAGAGATGAGAAATTATAATTTATCTGATGAAAAAAAAAATCCAAAGAGAAAATTCATAGGATCAATCATTAACAGCTAGATAAAAAGTAATAACCCATAGTATATTTTTCTGAAATGGAGGAAGTACCCCTCTATTAAATAATATATAATATTTTCAAAAAACTGCAAGAATTATTTTCTTGGAGGTGGACTCTGAAATATTTTTGAAGCTAGAAAAGATTCCTCCATAGGAAAAAGAGTAAAAACAAAACTCATAATTACTAAATTAAAGACAAATTGTAACCAGAGTGATTGTCCAAATATTACACTGTGAGCTGTGCAGATATATAACTAATTACAGAAACTGCTATGGATGGATGGTCTAATCCTTGTTTGGGCACTTTTTTTGAGGCAGTCTTCTTGCTAAAAATGTAAAGACTGGTCACTCAACAAAAGGCCCCAGGTTGTTTCTCTTAATTAAGTCTAGGAGTAACTCAGGGAAAAATGAACACGTTCAAGCTGCTGAAATATCAGAATATTTTGCTAATATATATAAGAATAATGCTAGTCAATCTATAACCAATAGAAATACAGAATAAGCTAATAAAACAATTGAGGAAGGGTGTGGGAAAGATGCCCTCATGACATTATGCTCTATTTTTCTAGAACACAGCCAATATTATAATCTTAGAAATAATGATCTTTAATGGAATTTTCTAGCATCTAATTTCTATGACAGATGTACTATGGGATTTTCATAATGCTTCAATGAAGGCAGGAGACATTTTTTTGAAGTGCTCATAAACTCAGAATAAACTGCCTTTAATCGAACATAGATTTTTGCTTGCCTTTTTCTTTCTTGAAAAAAAAAAAAAAACAGAGACATATAAAACAGCAGGTCTGCAACTTTCTCACTGAGGAAATAAAGGGAAAAAACCTGACAGAGCAAATCCAAACCAATTAAGCAAAACAGAAACCATTTGAAAGTCAGTAAAAGCATAGCTGAACATCAAATATAGGTCTATTATTGATGTGAATCAATTATGCAATTCTAATTGTGAGATTTACATTAGTGTATCATGTCAATTCTTATATATTAAATGTATTTTATTTAAAATATTACAAAAAATTCATATTTAGATAGTCCTGAATATTGAATTTGCATTTCTATACTATCATAGTTCTTTTTCTACAATCTAAAATTCTCAAGGATTCAAAAAGTACACAAGATTTTAAATTATTAAGACCAATAATTCCATTTACTGAATATCTACAAATCATAGTATCGTATAAATGAGAAAAAAAGCTTTTCTTTATTTCTGTGGCATATTGTAAAAGGAACTTGTAGCACTTGGGAAAAAATACAGAATTTTATAAGAGATGCTGAATAACCTTTAGGAAATAAAGGAGATAGCCCTTCTTTCATGCATATACATGATAAAATAAGAAACTATAAAATAAACTACAGAAAATTTTTGACTATCAGACATCACCCATATTTTGTAGGTACCTACTACAACTGTAATTAGCTTTCTTGCAACTCTGCAAATTTGCAAGTAAGTTGAATTACCTGGGCCCTATTATTGAAATGAAGGTCTGCCATTGACGCTGATAGAGCATCAGTGGTAAGGTCTCATGCAATGGCACATGATTGTGTAAGAAAAGCAATAGCCCTACTAAGAAAACTTTGCTAAATTGTTTTGCAGCATCCAAAGAAATAAAATAGAGTGGTAGGATCTTTATCAGAGCCCAGGACTTCCGTGTGATTAATTAGCTGTGGTTTATTTGGATGGTAAAGATAAAGGCAGAGCTGCAGGTAAACTTTGCACATTCATGCTTCTAAATTCATTAATACTATGTGTGAATTTTCTTTTCCATCACTATAACAAAACTCATGGTAAAAGAAACTTTGCCTCACAGGATCTCCATTTACAGATATATATTGGCACCATTCTACCAGATCAGGATTTTAGGTAAGTCAATCAACATAACTAAAAATTTGTTGTTTGCTGTTGCTGTTGTTATTGCTTTTGCCAGGGACCACTCTAGTTTTAATAAGATATTTCTCAGAAAGATGGTGAGGACCCTGGACCTGAACTCAGAGGTTCCATGACCATGTCAAAGTACTACCAGTGAAAATTAAAAACCTTCTTCTCCCATTAAAACAAAGCTCCCAAATTACCACATATCAATATTTATCAGTGCAGATTAGAAGAATGAATTCTGGTGGCTCTGGAGCCAAGATAACTTTCTGGGAACAGATATCCTCTTATTTAATAATTCAACTATAGGAACGTCTCTTTTTGAAAATATCATATAAATAAAATGAACACAAAAATACATGAAAAGTATAGCATAATGCAAAAGTATATGTCTCAAAACAGAAAAATTTGGTTTGCAAAAAATGTTTTTAGCTTTTTGCTGATACATAGAGATAGCAATAATATAGTTATCACTCAAAAATCCTTAAGAGCTAGGCATACAGTGTACATAGGGTTTGGTACTATCCATCATTTCAGGCAACTACAGGGGTTCTTGGAACATAGTTCCTGCAGATAAGGAAGGACTGCTATATGATTATTTCCATTCTGCATCTGATGAATCTAAGCACACATTCTATGAAATGTACCAGAATATAAAATATTGTGTGTGCATTCCTAAACAGCTGATTTTATTGATTGATTTATTTGTAAACTTTGCAGAGAGCATTGCTGCTTTCTGTAGATATTTAGTTTTCCAGAAATGAGCCTCTAGATACCTATCTTCTCCTTTTCCAGTTATCCATAATCATTGAGGAAACCCATCAATAAACGGAGGATAGGACGAGGTCTTCCCTAAATGCTAAGGGTCTTTCCTTCTCCCCAAGTGAAGATGGTACAAGGTAGCTTTGTTTTCAATCTTTAAATCTCCCAAAACTCTATCAGTGATTTCAGTCTCTTTCTACCCTGTCATGTAGCAGGAAAAATTATACCCTGGTGCATATCCAAGTTCACAGGCCACATTGAGCTTATTTTTCTTTTACAGGCCCTTGCAGTAAGCAGTTCCATTATAAACAATCTGCTTTATCAAGGCTGGCCCCAACAAATACAGATAAATAATAAAACATCTCAAGCTTCTAGAATGGAAAAGATTTATAAGCACGGCTGGCGTGGATGATGTAAAGAAGGGTTCAAAGGCTGTTTGAACCATAAACTCAAGAGGAAAAATCTGAATCATTTAGCAAAAAGAAGTGTTACATGAGGTTTTGGTTTTTTTTTTTTTGTTTCCTCTTCTCCTTCTTATGTTTTAAGGGAAAGTTTATTTAACACAAAGCACAAGCATCCCCTTTGTTATTGGATATGGTTAGAGTCACAGATATGCTTTTGATAGATGAAAGAGAAATACTTCTGGAAACAAAATATTTTATTTGAAGGAAACCTTCCAAAAACATGTCACATACTTCCGTGTTAATGTGATAAGTTGAATATGTAATTGAAACTTTTTTGATTGTATAAAAAGCATCATTTCCCAAAGTGCATTCTAGAAGCAGGATGTTAATGGTGTTTTGGGAAAAAAGGTGTTCTGAGGTCAAATAAATTTGGGAGATGCTGATGTCAATTTGGATTTGCTTAGAACAATGAATATTCCCATTTAGACTGGCTAATTGGGTGGGAAACGTAAACCCATATGTCAGGGCGTGTATTGACCCCACAGGCACTAAGAAATTGAATGTCAGTCTTTTTCTTCTAATTTCATGGCACCACTCTGTCACCAACTCCTTCCTAGAGGTTGAAATGTTAGAAAAGGAGAGGAAAAAAAGAGAGAATACAGGAAGAGAGGACAAGCTAAGAGCTGACCTACTCAATCATGCTGTTTATTTTCCCTTATGCACTAGGAGACATTTCTCTCCTGCATTTTGTGCAAAATCGGCCACCTGTTGCTGCTTCTGCTTTCCATTGGTGGTTCTGCCTCTGCTGTTCTCTGGCAATGCAGCGACCCTCAGATACCTTTGTTGGTTTTCCTGCAGAGATTATAAAATCACAGAGAGGCTATTGTTCTGCACGGATAGGAAAGCCAGAAGTACACGTAATGGAGAAAGGGAGACAGTAGATTGTTTTCAGTAGGAGGTGGCTTACCTGTGTTTGCTGCCTTTGTTCTGTTTGTTTCCCTATGTGCTAGTATTAGAGAAGGGAATAAATGTGGAAAAGAGACAACCCAGATGAATTTAGTCACATCTTAAAAAATATTTTGCTCTCCAAATGTAAGAAATTCAAACAAAACAGACCAATTTTTTCAACCTTCATTAACAGCAATTTAGTATCATATACCATTCAGAGAGGATGTTAGGCTCTCTCCAGTTATTCAGTACTTTCATGATTATTTCAAATATTGGTATGACTTTTAATTAAAGTATGAGTAGAAGACTCTACTTACTTCTTTCCACTCAAAAATACTGCATATATAGCTAATTTCACTTGTATATAATTTTAAGGCATTCTAGGTTTTTAGATAGCAGTAATGGTGATAATTAGTAAGAGAAAATTAAGATTCCGAAGACCTGACACCGAAAAAAAAAGCAGTAAGTCCCAAAAGGAGGGAAGATTCCTGGAGTGCTTGAATAACATTTGGCCATGCCTCAGTGAACTTGAAAGAAACTCGGTGAAATTTAAAAAGTACTTATCAGCAACCATAGCTCTAACATGCTTTTCTTTAATAAATAATACTTAACACTTACTGCTTACATCACAATTTTCATCTTCAATGTACTTTACAAACATTAAGTAATTTTTATAATACTCTTGGGAATTAACAATGCTATTTCTGCATTTATATAGAGTCGCTCATTTGAAGAATCTGAAAGGACTTCACAAATATTAAATATAAGCCACATTCAATTTTAAAAAAGAGAAATAAAAACGAAACTGGACAGGTCATTGGAAATAGAGTCTATATACTATTGGAATTAAGAATTTCTGATTTCTAAATTTGGTTTTGACCACATAAAAGCATTCCTTTATGGAGGCTGCTTAAATTCAACGGTGTCTTAAAAACTGCTTAAAAAATTAATATACAAGGACAATTTCAATGTCAGGCCACCAGACTTCTGCTTTTGTGTCATGTTTCTATTCATTCCTGAACAAATATGGCTATGTCCTCATTTCCTAGCTCAACAAAAGGAAGCAGTGGAACTGCTAATACAGAAATCCTTCCAAATGAACTTCAAATGAATGCATTATGCTCTTTGCGTAAATTTCACTTTCAAAATTGTATGTTTCAAAAGATAATATTAAAATTATTTAATGAATAACGAAGGAGGACTCTGTGATTATCAGTGAAAAATATGCCCAGGTTGTTTTATTTTTCAATCAATATTTGACTAATAAAGAAATTGCTAAATTACTTTGGCCTAATGTTATTTGTTTAAGTTAGCACTCAATTTTTCTTTATTCTAAGTAACTCTGCAAATCAATGTTTTGGAGATCTTGCAAAAACTAGGTATAATTACACTGTTCTGTATATGAATATGTAATACATATATATACATAGACACATAATATATGTAATGTAACTAATTACATAAATTATTTTATTTAATTATCACAGCAAAAGACCTGTATCATTATCACTGTTTTACAGATGAATTAAGTGAGGCACAGTGATGTGACTTACCTAACTAAGGCAATATATCTAGTGAATGGTACAGTCAGAATTCAAACCCAAACAGTCTGTTTCAGGAGGCTGGACTCTTGAGCACTGTTCAGAATAAGTTGCTCTCATGAAGCTAAATAGTATAGTAAACTAGTAAGATTAACACGCTAAGCAGGTCAGTTGGTGGATCACCCAGCACAGAGCAAAGAAAGGCAACCTGGTTAGTGTAAAGAATTTATGACTTCCATTCAGGAGCCCAGTTTGGTGAATTGCTTGTATAGTCTACTAGACATGTGACGCTGTGAACCATGTCAACTTTTTGAGTTTTAACTCTCTTAACAGTAGTAGCGCAGGGGTAGAGAGAAAGAGATTGAATTATCTTTGAAGACTTCAAGACTTTCAAAGTCTTGAAGGACCCTACTGTTTTTTGATTGTTTGTTTATTTGTTTGTTTGTTTTGAAACAGGGTTTGGTCTGTTGCCCAGGCTGGAGTGCAGTGGTGTGATCATAGATCACTGTAGCCTTGAATTCCTGGGCTCAAGTGATCCTCTCACATTAGCCCCCTGTGTAGCTGGGACTACAGGCATGTGCAACCATGCCCAGCTAATTTTTTTTTTTTTTTTTTTGTAGAGACAGGGTATCACTATGTTGCCCAGGCTGGTCTTAAGTTCCTGGTCTCAAGCGATCTTCCCTCCTTGGCCTCCCAAAGTGCTGGGATTACATGTGTGACCCATCAAGCCCGCCTGTTTTTTAGAGATGGAGTCGTGCTATGTTGCCCAGGCTGGCCTCCAACTCCTGGGCTCAAGCAGTCCTCTCACCCCAGCCCCCAAGTAGCTGAGACTACAGGCACACTTATCATTTTTAACAATATATATTCTCTTCTGCTTCTATTATTCACAGCTGGAAGAATTTTGGTGAGGTAAAATAATAGCTGTCTTATATAGAATCAATCACAAATGTAGCCTAATATAATAATGCGCCAAATAATTAGTAATGTATGCAGACGTGTCCTTAATTTCTTTCCTAAAAGTCCATGCATGAGTGTGTGCGCCAATACACACACACACACACACATACACACACAAACATATTCATGCAAATATATGCTATGTATGTATGTATAGCTTCTTCTTGTATTATTTATCATAATGGTAACGCTGGCAGATGTTTCCTAGGTTTGGAGGACATGATAATGAAGAAGACAGTCCTTGCCTTCAAAGAGCTCGCATTCCAGTTGGGGAGCATGAGGAGATAAGCTAATTCCAAAAAAAGAAAGAGTGAGAAGCTGGGGATATTTTAGCCAGACTGATTAAGGGAGGACTAGTTGATATTAATAAGGAAATAATACAAAATCTGCTATAAGAACATCCCAAGGAGAGGAAACAGCTAATGTAGGAGGCTGGATATGGCAAGCAGGTTGGATAGTCTAAACAATTAGACAGCAAGAAAGTCAGTGTCACACAGGGAAAAGAATACTACGTGATCAGATCAGAAAGGACACAGCCAGGCAAGGGACATCTTAGAGATCAGGGAGGGCCTCAGAGGTCTTTGTGTATTTTTGTGTTGTTATTTTTCAAGTATAATTAGAAACTACCAGAGAGTAACAGGGTACCTATTTTTGCTACTCACAGTATGTATTAGTATGTTAAATACTATTTCTTTAACATTTCTTAACTTTCAAAAGATTTCTTCAAATGACTGAGGGTCTCTGTTACTCTAAATGCACACTGATATTATATGAACAATCAAAGCAATTTGCCAATCATTTGCTGCAAGGATGCAGAGGAATCTAGGACCTTTGAGAATGTAATAAATAATTCTTTTATTTGGAACTCACTGAAAATTTGACATTTAAAAATGTTTTCCTTTTATTATTTAACCATCTTTTATTTTCAGTTTGTGCTTTTTTTATAGATACAACATGAAAATGATGTTCCTATACAGAATTCTATCAATATTAAGGGGTATAGAAAAGTTTATTTGAACTATATATTTATTGTTTCTTTTTATTATTATTCTTTATTGAATTTCTGTGAGATTACAGAATTTTCAATCAAAGTACTGGTAGGATTTGATCTACTCTCTCTTGAATAATACAAACACCCTATTTTTTCACTAAGATAAAATCAAGATAATTTACAAACACTTTAATTAAACCATGAATGTTTTATTTTATATACATAAACATATATTAATCCATTAAGACTCCATCACCATTTTTGAATACTGACAGAGTGAATTCCTTAGTCTTGTACCATGGAGATGGCTATTAATATAGCGCATCTCCATATATGCTAATGGTCTCCTGAATATCCTTTGAGAGCATGAAACTAACTCCATAGATTATACTGGGAATGGACAGATGGACAACAGACTTGAGCTCATCTCTGCTAATGTGGGGTTCTACAGTGAAAACTGCACTGGCAGATAAAGACCTGCTCATTGACCTCTTTCTCCTTTATTCACCATGGGGTCTTGGAAGTTCACTGTGGGCCTCAGCAATCCCACTTATAAAGTGGGGATACTTGCTTGTCTGACAGCAAGTAAATAGGCAGCTGGAGTGCATTGCCTTTTTTTTTTTTTTTTGAGACGGAGTCTCGCTCTGTCGCCCAGGCTGGAGTGCAGTGGTGCGATCTCCGCTCACTGCAGGATCCGCCCCCCTGGCTTCACGCCATTCTCCTGCCTCAGCCTCCCGAGTAGCTGGGACTACAGGGGCCTGCCACCTTGCCTGGCTAATTTTTTGTATTTTTAGTAGAGACGGGGTTTCACCGTGTTAGCCAGGATGGTCTCGATCTCCTGACCTCGTGATCCGCCCGCCTCAACCTCCCAAAGTGCTGGGATTACAGGCGTGAGGCACCGCGCCGGGCCTGCATTGCCTTTTAAAGCACTTTAGGAACCTGTATGATTGGCCAAGGGGACAAAGTACCGTAGGTACAACACAGTAAAACAGTCCTCAGAACTGGAGGAGCAAATCAATAACTTTCCTCCATTGACTCCCTGTATTCAGAGCTCTTGGGCTAGCTCTGAAAGTCCTATATCTGCAGGGGATTATCACCAGTCTGCAACTCCGCGATTTTGCTTCCATTAAAAAAAATTAACTGAAATACCATACTGAAACAGTTTTCAATTATATTTAGAAATGTACAGAGAAACATATGAAGAGCCACTTTTGGTAGATTTATTCCAATGGAAGCTTCATTGCAGGGTTTAATAATGTCTGAGGGAACTAAACTGACAGCTGTGGAGGCAGAGTCTTGAGTGCGTCATTTCAGAAGGGAAGGAGAGCGCGAATCCAATTAAAAAAATGACAAAGCTGTCACCTCACCCAACTTATTTTCATTATTAGTTGCCTTTTGCTTTTCTATTTTTGTAATGGAGAGGGCATAGAGACAATTCATATAACAAATATATATCAATTTTCAGGGGATGATTTGTAAATTAAATTACTAAGGTTTATTTTGTCCTTCCCTACTTGCAACTATACATCATTTCCATTCTTAGTTTTTTTCTCCTGAATTTCATCTGCCCTCCAACCCTTTTTTTCCTAGATGAATTAATTAGAGAAATGAATCTTTTTTTTTTCTTTTAGATAAATTGCAGTGAAAAGGGGAGGGAATGCAGCTGAATGCAGTTTAGGTTTCTGTTCCGTTCGGATTCAGCTGGCATGTTTTCCAATTCCGCTCTTGATAACAACAGTCCTGTAGAATTGGCTTTTTAAAAATAGTACACCCTGTGATAGAATCAGTAACATAAAGTAAACAAATTCAGTAAGATAAGGATACTCTTGTTTATGTTGCTTTATACCAGCGAATCAAGCAACAAATCGGTAAATATTTATTGGTTTGGCAATAATATGTCTAGTATGAAGGAAAGCATTTAGAGGAGAAAGTACAAGTAAGTTCTTGACAATTTTGTTGCCGAGAAGCCTCAAGTTACTGCGAAACAAATGAGTATGCAAAAAAGCAATAAATGAATTTTCTGAGCAATGTGAGAGAAATGTAGATCGAGTGGAGTCATCAAGACACATTTTTGAAGAGGTGGAAGAAGTAAGTCTTCAGCTGCTCAGTGAAACACAGGTGTTCAGTGCTGGAGCGGAGGAGAGGGAAAGCTTGCGATGTGACTCCCTGTTATTATTAAGATAGCACCACCGGAAGTTACTTACTAAGAATATCACGTTTCTGGAAGATAACAAAGAGCCTGCAAAAAAAACAAAACAAAACAAACAAACAAAAAAAACAACGTGGGGGGGTGGAGTGGTTTTTATAAAGGTAGATTTTATAAAGTACCTAGAATAAAGGAAGGACACACTTTGTCTCAAGAGAGTGCCTAAAGAGACCGGCCTCATTCAGAACTCATCTGTTCTTAAGTAACCAACGATTCAACAAGTTATTTAATCTGATTTACTATGATACAAATAAGTAGCAAATAAGAAGAGGAGAGCATAGCAAGATGTAGCCAGAGAGCAAACTGAAGGCAAGCTGTAAAGACAGAGGGAAAGGCTGTAGGAAAAAAAAAATCTACAAAATGGAAGACAAGAATTCAAAAATAGTTATCTGACTCGATCCACGGAAAATGAGCATTCCATATGGTGATAGACTCTGAGGGACTACTTAATATTACAATACAAATTCTTACATACAGTAATTGTGCAATACTCAGTAAGCTCATAATGATGATTATTTAGATTACATTTATATGACATTCTGGGAAAGAAAGAAACTTCAGGGCGAGGAAACAAGTAAGTGTGACCAGACAATGGGAGCAAGGGTAGGGATTGACGGAAAGTAGACATGAGGGTATATTTTGGAGGTGAGGAAAATGTTCAATGACAAGCATCTAATGAAAGTGGCAGATCGCAGATTTAAATTTAAACCTGCCTGATTTCAGGTTCACTGGCACACAACAGTAAATATCCTACATCTTGATTGTGTTGGCTACACAACTATAGTGGTTACACACTGCGTTTCAAAACTCATAAAACTGTACACTAAAATGGGTGAATTTTACTCAATATAAATTTCTTTAAAAAAATCCGTTCATTTTCTGCGATTATCTGGTTTTTCAATAATGGAGCATTAAATACGTCTGTTGATTGTGCATGACCAGTATACCACTGTTTTATCTTGGCTATCCATGCACAAGGTGGTCTCCACAGCATTTCTCTATCATTCCCTATGCACAGCTTAGTAGACTGGCAGAATCTTACCATTATCTATTCTTAAGTTTCTTTCTCTGTTTGACCTAATCAGGAATTGACTGCATACAAAAATTATTCATATTCATAATACTTGGAGTTATAGAATCAAGATGTGTTCCTCTGTAGCATGATCATAATGTTGTATTTTATCTAGATACATCTTCTTAGATCTGAATCTATTTTGTCTAGTAAAAAATTGAAGAGCTAGAGATTAGAAATACATATATATGTATTGTTATAAAATTCTATATTCAATTACTATTCTAGATTCATAGGAAAATGAATATCTGAATTAAACTCCAGAGAGATACGAAATCCAAAAATAATAGCAGGTCCCATTTATTGAGCACTTTATATGTATCACACATTTTGCTTAACTATTTACATGTTTTAAGCTTCAAAACTTCACTGAGACAAGGGCCCTGATTTATAGACAAGGAAAGTTATATTACAAAATGTAACAACTAGCCCAGTGTCACATAGCTAGTTAAAGTGACAGTTCTGAAAATAAAAGTCAGGCCTGCCTAATTTTATTATTTATTTATTTTTTTATTTATTTGAGACGAAGTCTCACTCTGTCACCCAGGCTGGAGTGCAGTGGCGCAATCTCGGCTTACTGCAACCTCTTTCTCCCAGGTTCAAGCAATTCCCCTGCCTCAGCCTCCCGAGTAGCTGGGATTACAGGTGCCTGTCACCACGCCCAGCTAACTTTTGTATTTTTAGTAGAGACGGGGTTTCACCATGTTGGCCAGGCTGGTCTCAAACTCGTGATCTCAGGCGATCTGCCTGCCACGGCTTCCAAAGTGCTGGGATTATGGGCATGACCCACTGCGCCCAGCCTGTGCCTAATTTTAGATTCATTAAGACGCAATGATAGGAAATAAATAGTCTACCGTAAGGCAGACTGTAAAGAATATAATAACAGAGGAAACCTGTAGGAAAGGGGATATTCTTTCAGGAAGAAGCGGCTTGGGCTGGCACCATAGGATAGACAGAATTTTGACAGATTAATAGGAAAGGGCTTTCATCAGTAGAGCAAACAATCTCTTTCCTGCTGACACTTTCCAGCTAATGTCCAGTTGAGAAAAGCAACACTTGTAACGTGCTAACATGCATCGCCACCATTTTCTCTCAGCTCCACTCTGATAGTCTCACCCTGATATGTCAGGGCGGGGCTGAGAGAAAATGGTGGTGATGTTAGCATGTCACAAGTATTCAAGTTTTGCTAATGTGTGTGTCTCTGTGTGTGTGTGTGTGTGTGTGTGTGTGAGAGAGAGAGAGAGAGAGAGAGAGAGAGAGAGAGAAAGCCTGATTTGTGGACACTGTCTTCTGTGGGAAGAACAATGAAGCATGGTTGTAGCCACACATGCAACATTTGAAAAGCGAAAACCTCATCACCAGAGGCAACCCATACGACCCCTCTGGGCCTTACTTTCCTCATATGAGAAAGAAGTTCACTAACAATACAATCCACTCTGTCTACCTCTTGGGATTATTGTGAGGATCAAATTAATTTAAATGGATATGAAATCAATTTTAAATTCTAGTGATGGCACATAATGGATCGAGTTAAGGAAAGATAAGCAAAATGTCTCCAAATCCTGGGAAAAGCAGCTTTAACTCAGGGTGGAGTTGAGAGAAAATGGTGGCAAGTGTAACATATGGTGGTGTGAGAAAGAACAGAGCAATAACATTTTCCACGTATGTTCCTTTAATAAATTGAATTACAACTACCAAGCCTGCAGAATTTTGACATGAAAGTATATGCTAATGTCATTACACCTGGGAAATACATTTTTACACAGAAAAGCTCTAAGTAATGGATACACTCTCTTTCGAGATAAACATTTTATATCACTTAATGATTCATTGTATTTGGATGCTAAAATTGTTTTCATGTGTTTTCTGGCCAGTTTAACTTGAAAACAGAAGTAGTTATTAATCTGTTCTAGGTGCCCCTTTTCTTTGGGGACTCTAAGTAGACTCTTCTAATGTCATGGGGCCATTTGATCCAAGGCTACGCCAGGTAAGACCCCATATCCATTGCCTTCCCCTTACTCCCCACACATCCCCACATACTGATTATGCAAACTTGCTCCTACTGGGAAAAAAAAAACAAATTATATCAACAAAAAAGACACTTGAAATATTGCTACTTTGTTCTAGACCTGGCAGGACCCAGAGGGAACATCCATACCTGGTAACAAAAAGAAAGACCACTGTTACCTGGCCCTTCTCAAAACAGCAAACCAGTTAAGCCCTCAACTTGATGAAGTTTTTATCTCTGGAATTCTATTTATGTACATGCTTGGTACGCAAAAGCAATGAGAGGGCCATTGCCTGTCATGACCACCAAAATTCCAGGCCTTTCATGAAACCAGCCCCTTTAAAAATAATCACGGACACTTATGGATTGAACACTTAATTTTTAATATGAGATTCATCAATGAAAAATAATTCTAAATTTGTTATAATGAATATTGACTTCCTGTAAGGTGTATGGTGGTATGCAGCATCCACATCTCACATAGCTAATTTTCTCATGCTCATAAAATAACAAAAATCTTTTTCTCTCATGAAAAATGTTTCCCCAGAAGAATGCCAATTCTTCAAGCCATTGACAGGAATGAGGAAAACATAAAGACATCTAAGAAAGTGGTGGCAGTTCTTAGTCAGAAAATAGAAGCTTGTATAAAGAGTGGAATGTGAAATTCTGCAACGTTTCAAACTTGTAACTGAACAAATCTACATATAAACCCTGTACAGAACTCTTCTAGTAAATCTGCCAACTAAGATATCTGTTAGTGACTTTATTAAGAACTTTAGTCTTATATTTATTGAAACAATAAAGTCATTTAAGTTTTAGTCTTACATTTTATTGTTTGTATGGGAAAGTTCTAGGTTCTAGTAGTGTTTAAATATTGGAGCATTTGTCAAATTTTGGTGACATGCATTTCAAGAAATCAAAGTTCTTCAGACTGCAGTGGAAAATCTGGCCCGTACCCAAGTTTCTTGTTACTGTCAGCAGGGACGAACAATCCCTGAACTATTCAAGATTTATTTACTTATGTCAATTTAATTTTAGTCAGCAACTCACCAAGGAGAATTCTATTTTATAAGAATCTCTCTGTTTCTATCTATACATCATTTCCCTTTGAGAGAACAGATAACAGATCTGCCCTTTCCACCATGTCATCACTGCATCTAGGCATTATAGGTAATTAGCAGGATGTAAATTGTAAGGTGGTGCTTCTTCCCCCAACCCCCTTGAAGATGGGATCTTGCTCTGTCACCTAGGCTAGAGTGCAGTAGCACAATCATAGGTTCATAGCTCACTGAGGCCTCAAGCTCCTGGGCTCAAGTGATCCTCACATATCAGCCTCCTGAGTAGCTGGGACTAAAGGTGCATGCCAGCACACCAGGCTAATTAAAAATTTTTTTTCTGTAGAGAGTGTGTGTCACTATGAAACTCCTTGTCTCAAGCAATCCTTCTGGTGTGGCTTCCCAAAGTGTCAGCATTACAGGCATAAGCCACTGCACCTGGCCTTGGTGGTACTTCTTACATCAAAGATCTAATGGTTTTGAACTGCACTGTGAAAAACTATTTGAGTGGTATCATTCTTTCAGCTTCCTTTCTCCGTCTTATTTCTCTGAGAAATTTATTTCTTCATTATCTATTATTAGTAATGCTGCTTAAATAAGAGTGACGTGTTTCCACAAACTGCAGTGCATGGCATGGAGTAAACTAAAAAAGTCATCCATTTAATACATATTTTCCAAGTTGCTTATTTGAAAAAGGTAAATTAAAATGTTTACATAGATATCCTTGTCATCATGGCTTAAGTAATGTCTTAAATCATTCAAGAAATATTTATTGAGGTCCTATCAATTTCCAGGAATTAAACTAGGTCTGGGGCGAATGAAGACCAGGACAATCACCTTTTCCCTCATAAGCATGCCCCAAAAGACTAATGTAGCATAAAGAACATATGTAAAAGTGCCTATAATTTTGTTAGCACATAAATCTTCAATAAATGTTAGTGATTAAAGTAAAGGTATTCATACTGATTCCATACAATGTAAAAACTACATTTGTTTCATAAAAATATGAAAAATCTATGACTTACGTAGCAATTAGTTGAGCATCACTAGTAGAGTGTTTGTAGCATTTAGAAGTCACTTTAAATCTCAACGTGGAAGTCTTGTTAATCTGATCTTGTCAGTGGCATCTGAATCACATTACACATCTAAATAAACTGATCTACAGGGACCTTACTCAAAATGGCAGGCAATGCTGATTTAAATTAGGTTTGAAGCCCACCACAGCAGCTTGAAACTTTTCCTGCTTACAGCTTAGTAAAGTGATATTCATTTCCAGAAAGGAAACTTCGACAGAAACATATAAGAAAAAGTAGTCTGTCATTTCTGAAATGTTACTGAAAAACCTCACCAAGTTTATCCCTTCATCTCCAAATGCTTCAAAATGTAAAATCTCGATATCTTAACCATAAGTCAATAGTGATATAGTAATAACCCTAATAGTTACTATTTGGTAAAGTAGAGAAATTGGAAATTCTCATCATAAATATACATTAAGGAAATAAAAACATATCCTAACATTTGCTAAATTTCAAGTTGTTTAATCTTTTATTAGTAAGAAAGAATATTGTCTTACTACTTTTGTTTTGTCTGAGATCAGATTGATGAAAAGTAATAAAATTCTTCTACAGACACTGTATTGTTTCACGTCTTAGTCAAAACAGAAAGCAACTATATTTTTCAAGAAAGAATTCTTTTGATAAACACCTCTCTTTAGTGAAATAATAAACATTATAACAAATGAGATAAATGTTAAATTATCAATGTAACTATTTCAGAAACTGTATTTGTTTTCTATCTTATACTATATGTCTTAAACACTAAAATATCTGACCCAAAATTTCCGTTTCCAAAATCAACATGACCGTGATAGCTCTTGAAACATGGTCGTGTCTGTAAGTCAGAAAAGAATATGTTAGGTGGAAAGTAACAAAAAGCAACCAAACAATTTAAAGATAACCTTTTAAAGCAAATATTTATGACTCTATAGACATAGCATATTGGTTAAAACAAAGTGGTAATGTATATGGTACATTATTTTAAATTTGCTTCAATGCTGATACATTTTGCTTCCATATATTAATTTTTCACACAAAAGTATTTTTCCCTAGTGAAAAGTACTCGTTAACAAGAAATGAATATGGTGTAACAATTTATTTGAAATCCTGCAGTCAACTCTTTGCATATAACTTTCTGATAAAAAAAAAATCCCACATACTTCATTTTCCCTAAAGAGCAGCATGAGATTTCCAATCCTTTGCTTGAACACATAAAATATTAAGAGCCAATTTTCAGCTGCACCTCTGTCACTTCCATTATCATTCTACACGTCCAGAGGTGATAATGGACTCTGTAAATTGCAGTCTTTCTCCACCCCAGACCACGGAGGGTTTCACCAGGGGACAGTTCCACACAAAGGGTGGCCCAGATGTATGTTAATGGCACTGAGAAGCGAACAGCAGACACTACCATACAAGATAATGTGACGTGTTATCCAGAGGAAAGATGAAATGAGCAGAAAACAATTTCCTTAGAAATTCTGTAAAATCAACAAGGACCCATTCTTCTCCACAAATCAAATAGGTAGCACTATCTTCACAGAACTTTGGAAACAAGATTAAAATACATTCCTAATGCCTCGTCTATGAAGGAATTGTTTGTTCAAGCCAACAGAGAATGAAGGCACATGAGCATTGAGGTTTAAAGAATTATAGGGGAGGCTTTTGTTTACCATTTGCTTTTTTCAGACATACAACACAGATCTACCAGCATTCATTATCTTCAAACATGAAGTGAAAGAAAGAGGGTAAGGTAAAAGAAAGTGCTTATCTTATCCATTGCTGAAATGATACTCACTACTCTTTGTTGTGGGCAATCTGCCCATTAAAAGGAAGCTGTCTTATAGGAAATTGAATGTGGTTGACACTGGGTTTTCATATGATCATATTTCCTACTATTCCATGCAAAATAATCAGATTTTACGGAAAATATACAGGAAGGAAGGGATTTGAAACTAGTTTTTCTCCCTTTTCCATAGGCCGTCATCTAACTAGTTATCTCACTCTAACACTGGGTGAGTGTTCATTGACTGAACCTACCAGACTAAGCACCAATGCTTTGGGCAAGGTGCTGGGGGTGGGTTGAGAGACAAGTGTTGTGCAAGAGGAAAGAAAGCCTAGTGAAAGAAAACAGACAGATCAAAATCAGATTGCATTACCCAGATAATTAAACATAGCTCTTTACCAATTAGATAATAATACATGACACATAATCATTGCTTATATGCTAATAAAGCCAAATGTTGGATAAGACAAGGTAAGGTCAATTTTAATACAATAAGTATATTCTGGAGCCAATTCCATAGTCTTCAAACTAATTTCAGGAAAATCAGACATCGGGAGGAAAAGAAGAAGAAAAAGAAAAAAGAGAAAAGGAAGAAAAAAAAGAAAGAAAAAACAAAAAAGAAACAGAACCCAGTAAAATCATTTCTTCATTTATTCATCTAGGGTCAAAACATCACTAATGAGCTCCACCTCTTCTCTTCCTGTTCCCCTTCATTTCCTTCAGCAAACACCAAGGACTGAAGCATATAAAGGCATTGTGCTAAGCATTACAGTTTGAAAAAAAGCCCACCAGTGATTACTGTCTTGAAGAGAATACAGACAAATAAGCAGATCATTACAGTAGAGGGTGATACTTGTTCTGGGAGAGAGATCAGAAGGCTGCTTATGGTGAGACTTTACCATCTTGTCAGAGTTTCCAGGAATTATTACTAGGATTTCACATCCTAGTCCTCCATGTCTCATTCCTCAAGAAAAATGAGGCATACAATCAATGCATAAGCAGAATTTGTAATTTGTACATATTTAAAATTAAAACGATTGAAATCCAGAATAGGCAAATCCATAGAGACAGAAAGCACATTGGTGGTTGCCAGAAGAAGGGAAGAGGGAGAAGTATGGAGTTACTACTTAAAGGGTAGAGGATGTTCTGCGGGGTTAAAAAGTTTCAAAACTAGATGGGGTGGTAGTTGCACAATATTGTGAGTGCACAAAAAAACCACTCAATTTCACCCTTTAAAATGGTTATTATGTGTTACGCGAATTTCACCTCAATTAAAAGAACAACTGACACTCTTCATTTGATACTTTGTGGCAGTTTGAAATAGGCATTCTGACATGTCGCAAAAATTTAGAGTCAATCAGACTCTTCACTCTGATTTTCTGTTTCTTATTCTCCATATGCAGAAAAAGGTGGAAGAATTTTCTGCATGGAGAATATGCAGAATATTTGAGAAAGAAAAATCAGCAAGAAACTTTTGATTTAACTAGATACCTAGAGCAAGTTTAATGTCTTTGAGATAGTTTTTAAAGTTCAGAAGATTGTAATAGTATAGTAGCATAGCAGGAGGTACTGTGATTACATATGAGTATTCTCCAAAACGTTATTTTCTATGAATTTTTAATGATGCAAGCAATTTTTCAAGGTCACTGAGAGAGCAATCAGTCATTCAGACAGTAAATTTGTTCACAGTTTCTTGGCAGCTTTGCAAGAAAACAAGCAAGTGGGATTTGTGGAGGAGGGGAAATGATACACTGAGGAAGAGGTAGATTAGGAGTACTATAAAATTAGCTACAGGTATACTTGATTCACTCTTTAACCTACCAGGTTCTTCACTAAGTGTTCTAGAAGGTAGAATGAGACTTTATGACTCAATGATTTTCTGGTTGTCATTGTGGTTAATAGCATAAACTGTTGACACCTATAAAACTCATTTTCTAATGATTTGATCATATCAGTATCCAAAGATCGCTGAACATTTCTAATTTAAATTTAAATTTAAAAATTAAGTTAGATTATAAAAATTAAGTGCATGGGAAAGACATTAAGAGGTATATATTTATCAATATTTACAGCCCAGAATGAGTTATTTCTCAAAAACTTGAAAATAATAAGAAATTATACTGCTCTCTTAATGTTACATTATAAGACTGAAACAGAATGGAACAAGAGAGAAATGTGAAAAATGTATAGAGTACATGTATTAAAAATAGTGTCCCAATCCCTGGGAAGGCAGAAGAGTATTAATCATCCATGAGATCATATTGAAAGAGTCATCACAGAGGTCAATATTCAAAGTATCTTTCAAACATTGTAGAAAAGTATGAGGTTTGGGCAATAAACTTCAGGAATTCTTTCCCATTGGCAAAGTGATGTCTAAGCTGGAGATAGAGGTAAGGGGTTATGTTGTTCCCTCCCCATTAACAAAACCTCGATTGCATTTGGTGTCCATCTGTAATGGCCCAAAACCATTAAGCATGCAATTTAGGCCAAGTGTGGTGGAACACACATAGAATCCCAACACTTTGGGAGGTTGAGGCAGGAGCATTGCTTGCATGAGTTTGAGACCAGCCTGGGCAAAGTAGCAAGACTCCATCTCTACAAAAAATTAAACCACTTGAGAGGTTAGGCTGGAGGATTGCTTGAGTCCAGGAGTTTGAGGTGGCTGCAGTGAGTTATAATTGCACCACTGAACTCCAGCCTGGGAGACAGGGCAAGACTCTGTCTCAAATAAATAAATAAATATATAAATAAAGTGGCTTATCTAATTATCCTTATTCTGATTCTGAGCAACCTTTATTACTTATTTTTCCATGTGCATCTGCATACAGAGAGAAAATGCTTTCATCATACAGACCTTGATATTCTTGTCCTTGAGATATTAGTTCAAGTTATTAATAACTTGACGTTCTACATAATTTGACTTCTCATGTATTTAGACTACATCCACCATGTCCATAGGAGTATTCCACTCAGGTAACAAGTATGTTTTTCATTTTAAATTGCAATTTTGGTTTGATACATCAGTATTCCTATGAAATGAGATTAAATTTACCAGTGTCTGAAACCACAAGTTTGAAAGCCAGCTGGATAGATGGTAGTTGATATGCCAAAGAAATGACTGCTACCCGGTGAGGCCTGTGAGTGACATCTAGGGACTTTGTTCCATGTGAAAAACACACAGCTCATTATATTGCTGAGTGGCTGCATGTAAAGGTACTCCCCTCAATTGTATCTTTCGTGTGTATAATGGTAATAATTATAAGGCAATGAAAGCCTTAATATGGAGGAACACACCACCGACTAAGAAAGTAAAATAAAAAAATGAAAAGAGAAAATGTGTTCAAGTAAAATAAAATTACAGTATAAGTTGATTTCATATTTAAATCCTCTAGGTATAAGGAAAGTATACAAGTTGGCTATTAAGACTGCAGGAAAGTCAGTTGTGGGAATGGGGAATTCATTGAGTTAAAGGAACTTAATCATAGTGGTGATGGAAATAGACTAACTTGCTTTGGTAAACTCAACTGTAATAATTCTGTACATTTTCACTGACTGTGTCATTAGAACCTTCTTAATTCTGGAGTGCAAGAGATTAATTTGGTTCTAGTGTTCAATATAAATCCTGAAAATGAAGTGAATGGCTGCCTTTACACTTGATTTTCAGATAACAGATATTGTTTAATTTAAAAGAAGAAAATTCCTGAAGCCAGACATATTAAGGAAATAACAAAAATTCAAGGACGTAACCAAAATTTGGACATTGGAAATGTCTGGGAAGTTGAAGAAGGTGAAGTTATGTACCAATGTGTAAAAATGAAAGTTTTTCTTTTTAAAAATATAATTAGATATTCCATACTTCATGCATAGAACACATTCATTGATGAGACTTATACAAATACTATTAAAAGATTCAGTTCCCTATGCAAATATGAGGTTGAGATTTATTTGTTTAGAAAATTAAAAGCAAATTAGAACATTTTCTATGACTATAATTATTTTCACTGAAGAAATGACTGACTTTTAATATTTTAAGTAACATGGGCAATAAGATGTTAATACTATGTTCATTTCTAAGTTCAATGTTCCCAGAAAATTCTGTGCATTTGCAGAACTTATTAGATACTCTTAAGTGAATCAACTGACATAATGTTTCAATGACCAAGTTAAAAGCTAATCAGAAATTTCCCACAATACCTTTACCTATATGTTTACACACATTAATATTTTATGTCAATATAATATGTTATTCAATGTTGTTTTCTGAATTCATTTCAATTTGAATTGAGAAACATTAGCAATATCCCTATTTCCTGTTATTTTCCTTTTTTCAAACCTGTTATATGTACTGATTGCAAACAAATATACTTTAAAAAATGAAGAAGGGAACCATTTTTCATATAGGGTACAGATTTGTCTAGGGTGTTTTACACCATATTAAAAGCATGTTTCTTGAAAAAAAGAAAACAAACATGAACATTAACCCCTTCCCTATCTTCTCTATCCATCTGCCAAATTTTGCTTTCAAAGAATTGTGGTAACAATATCAAATATTTCTACCACCTTTGTCACTTTTCATCTGTCTGGGAAAAGCACAAGAGATTCTACTCTCAGGAACCAACAAAACAAGAGCACACGGCTGAACGGCTTCTGGTCTACACTCACGTTTCCCATTTGCCCGCATTTAATGCTGTTAATATTTCAGCAGCTGGAGTACCAGGGTCAAACTGAAGTTTTTAACTATTTAATTCTGAATCCTCAGTCACAGATCTTGGAGAGAGAGAAAGAGAGAGAGAGGGAGAAGTGACAGAGATTGAGATAAAGGTAGACACAGAAATAGAAAAAGAAATAGAAAGACTGATGGTCTTTTTAAGGACTTACAGCAAGAAAACAGCGAATTCTGCTTTACAACACAAGAAACTGAATTCTGTCTACAACCACAACGAAAGCATGTGGACAAGGATCTGAACGTCGGATGAGATGGCAGCCCCAGCTAACAACTTAATTTTAGCCTGAGGAGATTGGACAGAGAACTCTGCTAACCCATTCTGTTCTATAGAACTCTGAGAAATGTGAACAGCTTTTTGTGTGGTGCTAACCTAGGAGAATCTATCCTTAGAAAAGAGTCCACAATTTCCAATCTAAGATCAGTTTGTGTAGTGTGTGTGTACATTTCCTCCGTCACTTAAATTTTTTATTACATAATTTCAATGCAAGTTTACAAGGAAATGAGGCTCCAAGCTGCTCATTATTAATATAGGGCCAGAATATTTTTAGGCGTTTAGAAGTTTCAAATGAACCAAAATGGAGCTCAGCATTGGAAAGAGTGAGTCTGTCCCATTGTAGTATGATATTTTTACTTCTGTTTTGACTAGAAAATAGGGGTAACTGAGATAAAAACAGGGTTTGGAAGAGGTCTGTATCATATCTATTAATAGAATTTTGCTGAATATGATTGTTCTGTCAAGTAAAAAAATTGTTGAAAAATACATACAGTAGAATTTTCTGCTTTTCCCGTTAGATATCTCTTTCTTTTTTCATGGAGCTGACAAATATATAGTTTCAGTTTGTCTTTTCCATCTCTTTTTTCTTTCAAAAATTTTAAAATTTGTTTTTCATTTCTTTCCTTTGAACCACAAAAATTGATAGCCTTCCTTACCAGAGCTAATTGAAGAATGGAAAAGACTTCAGTGAGACCTCTTCTAAGGTCTTTCAAGATTAAAACTCATTTTCAGGGTAGTTTGATTATTAAAATATATTTTCTCTGTCACACAGGTAATAGGTACTTATGAAATTTTGGTGTAAAGGAATAAATGAATGATAATAATTATATTGTAATTGAGTACTTCCTATAGCTTTGCATATGCCTACTCTTTTAATCCCCATAATGATCCAATGAGTAAGTGCTGTTATTACTATTATTTAATAGAATATTGAACTTCATAGTAATCCCATATTTTAAATGGTATGATGGGAATTTATATATATCACTTTAACTTACCCCAAGCCTTATCCCTTAACATATAAATAAATGAAGTATAGAATTATAATTTATTGGTGATTGCTCTAAAAAGATTTCTAGTTACTCTTATCTTGAAATTCTGAACTAGGTATATGTGGATATTACTAGTATCTTTTGATTTACACCCCTGTTATCCTTTTAGGAATTTTCCTGGGTTATTTGTCCACTACATCTATTTTTAGAAAGAACATAAAGTTACAAGGAACTCTGAATCCCACTGTATATTTTCTTTGATTAGAGGCAAAAGTACTACAGTGGTTCCAAATATAAGCAACTCTTAAATTTCTTTTCAAATTGCTCATCGCTTCCTATGTGGAGCATAGTCAAGTACATCTGGAATTCAAGTATTTTCATATGGCATTGTGATTGTTACTCTTAATGTTCCTTCCTCTAAGAACTTTCTTTTGTACCTCAAGAGTTTAAAAAAATCAAAATATACAAAGTCATTCAGTAGACTGACTATTATTCCAGTAGTCAGTGTATTAAAAGTCTCTAAAGGCCCATTAAGGTATCAGACTAGACTGGCTCCAGACCTGCCATTGTCTATTTTGGTTCAATAATGATTATACACATGTAATTGACTGAGACTATATCAGACTCATAAGTCACATTGTAGATGGAAAAAATGCAATCAATGTATACAATAGACTATAATTACAAGCCAATTCAATGCAGTGGATTTGATAAACTTTTTTGTAAGTTATAAATATTTGAACAATGGGGCAAAAGACTGTTTTATCAAGGACAACATAGTTAGAGGAAGAGCAGTTAGTATAGGTTCCAACTTCTTCAAAACAGGGAGACTTGAATGTCATTCTAAAGGTGGTTCACCACATGATCCCAGAATGGCCTAAAAGAATTTCCCTAAAAGGCTCTCATTATAGAATAGCACTCATTTATTATGATAATATCATTACCATAAGTTTGAAACAAGTATTCTTCATAATTTTATAAATATATAGCATATTTGTCACTCACTCATGGATTAAGAATGTGCATGAAATATAATTCCTATAACATTAAGCACTTATGCATTATTTTAAATGGCAACAGATTATTATTGATAATAGCGAGAATCAAAATATACTGACAGGTACTTAATTCAGATTCCAGTTATTTCTTGTGGAAATAAATTTTTCTTTGAATCAAATAGAAGAAAACAGCACTTTTAAAAAGGAGTAGGAGTCACAAGTTACCAGCAAGTACCTCCACTGGGATTGTCTGTGGGTAACTGCATTTTATGCTCTTGTTGGTGGATGGAACTGTCCATGTGGTGTTTTTTTTTTTTTTGGTGTTTTTCGTATTTCTTTATAACTTGAATTTTCAAGAAGTCTATCCATGTATATGTATGAATTCATAATACTAAATTTTAAATAGCCATTCTAATAATAACTTTTCTCTAAGCAATAACTTAAATAGTTAGCAACATGCTTATCTTCCTTTTGTCCAACACAGTGATGTGGTTTGGCTGTGTCCACACCGAAAAGTCATCTTGAATTGTAGCTCCCATAATTCTTACATGCTGTGGGATGGACCTGCTGGGAGATAACTGAATACTGGGGGCGGTTTCCCCCATACTGTTCTCATGGTAGTGAATAAGTCCCACGAGATCTGACGGTTTTATCAGGGGAAACCCCTTTCACTTGGCTCTCATTCTCTCTTGCCTGCCACCATGTAAGTCATGCCTTTTGTCTTCTGCCACGATTGTGAGGCGTCCCTAGCCATGTGGAACTGTAAGTCCATTAAACGTCTTTTTCTTCATAAATTACCCAGTCTCAGGTATGTCTTTATCAGCAATGTGAAAACAGACTAATACACACAGTGTCAACTGTTTATGAACCTTAATTATGTCTACAAAATCCCTTTTGACAAACAATGTAACATAACCATGGGAGTGATACTTCATCACATTCCTGGGTCCACCCACTATTACTGGGATAGGATTACACAGAGTTTGTATATCAGGAGGAAGCCATCATGTGGTCCATCCTAGAGTTCTAACTGCCACATAGGTATATGAAAGATGCTTATTATTCACAAAAATTATAAATAGCATACTTTCTATGTAGGCACAATGGATGGTTTAAAATATTTTCTGATATTTTGGCATATTAAATTCTACAAACATTTTATTATTGTAGAACATGTTCATAAATCATAATTTTAAATTATTGACAATGATAGTTATTCTGCTTAGTTAAGTACTCTGAAGATATAAATAGATCATTTACTTTTTCAGAAAGACTTGAAGGGAAGACTTCTTAATGCAAAGTATCTTTTTCCTCCAAGGATAGTGCAAGGCATGCAATGTATAATAATTCACTTAATGTTTGATTGATTCTTCCCATGAAGTTAAGATGTGATACAGTCCTTTTCCAACATGAAGCACAAGGCAAGAGCAAGTTGAATAGATGACAAAGGAGAGAAATCAAAAAAAGAAGATGTTATGCTCTGTTACTAAAATACTGTATTGTGAACATATTGTAATCAAATATAATTAGAAAAATATTCCCAAAGTAAAATTATAAATTATTGTTGGCTTGTCTAAAATACAATTACAATCCAAACAAGAGAATCAAGTATTTACACTAATCTAAATACCATTTCAATTTTACCTTACAAATATCTCAAGCTGATTAATAGAATTAACTGTTAACAAAGACACATTTTCCTATATTTTCTGGCCATTTGAATTGTTTCTGTTACATTATCCTTAGTCTTTTTCTATGAAAATAACAACAATGACAACCCTGGGCTTGGGGCTTTAATTTGGCAAGCCCACCGGCAGCATGCTGTTGCACTGCTCAAACTCTGTGTTTTCTAATCCAGCACCAACCGAACCTGGTAGCAAGCAGGAAGTCAATCAGAGGTGATGCGTGGCGATGATAGTGACCATGCTTGCAAAGCTGCTGGTAAAGTCAGATTGCTTTCCCTGCTAACCCAAGATATTCTTTCATATGTGGAAATTTACCCAAATAAAATGAAACATGTATTTGCCTGTTTTGATTTTCTTTTTTTATCTTGTGGTTATATGATTGGCAGTTGGAACTATTTATTGACTTTTTATCTTTTTAGTGATTCCCACAATCCTTTCCTCAATCAAGTTGATAGAGCCTTGGGTTTTTTTTTAGGTGAGTGAATAGAGAAAAGGCTATATGCTGAAATACCATAAAATATAACCGCGTTCAAGAAAATCCATTGCTGTTTTTTAACCATTACCGCATGGGCAAAACATTTCCTCAATGCTCACTTTCCCCCCCTTTCTCTTTCTAAATATCTTCTGTTTGACATATGTATGTGTACACATATTATACCAAAGTAGATATACAGTAAATAGTTATAAATGTAGACAACAAAAAAATGGGACATTCAAACTAGTCACAGGACAAGAGCACAATGTACATTAGGAATTTATACTAACAAATTCAAGAAATACTTACTGAGTGGTAAACTTGTTTCAGGTGCTATATTAGATATTACGGGTAAAAATTATAAATAAGATCCATCCTCTGCTCATAAAGGACCTTATCAGCCTAAAATCACTCTAGTGCAGAATATAGTCAAGTTAACCCTGACTATAAAAATGAAAATTTCAGGAGAAATGCCTAGTTCTAGGGTAACTTCTTGTAATATGGCAACATACAGGAGGTAATTCGGTTTTAAGGGAAAGTCAGATAAAGCTTTCTGAATGAAATAAGACTTAACTGCTGTAATGTTTTAGACATTTCCTAAAAATAAAATATAGAAACTACAACCATCACTAGCATGTGTCCTGGGTTTATGTAGCAAATTTAAAAACAACATATGCAGATTACTTTCTTCCAGTGTATTCAAATAACTAACAAATGGCCCTATTCTTGTTGATATTCAAGACAGAATACTAAGTGTACTAGTATTTGATTCTCTAGATCCTTTGATTAAGGTAGACAGGCAGATCACATAGTGCAAAGTCACCACAAACAGTGAACAGTTAGGGGTCATGAGGGGGTGATGGCCTTGAGGCTGCTCTGCTAGTCTTCAAATCTTTGAGGGTGACAGTGTCTTTGATCTGTCTGCCTTTTAAACAAGGAAACCTGGAAATATCTCAAATGACCATTTGATCTGTTTCTGGTGGGGAAGGTAGTCTTCCAGCTGCCGCCCTCAAACATGCTGTGCTCTCTCCACTAACTAAACACCGGGCTTTCATGTTGGAGAAAAACCAGGCTTCTAGCCACATAGAGCACTAAAGAAAGGGCTGATGAATATGGCCAGTGATTGGAGTGTCAGCCAGGCTGCAGTGCCTAACTGTGACCTACACCCGCAGACGGGTGGCTGCGGGGACTGCAGAGCCGCTGAATATGTGGACACATCCCTAACAGGGAGAACAAGAAGGCTCTGCCGCTAAGAGGAAGGGCGTTCAGGAAGAAGTCGTGGTAAGAGCAGTCTCAGCTTAGGAAGATGCCAGGCTCTCCTGATTTAAAGGGTAAGAAGCCCAACCATGCCATGAATGGTGAACACTGAACGAAGCACAAGCAGAGACTGAGGCTCAGAGTCCAAACCATGAGGCAGAAAATGAACCCATCCTAATGGAAAGCAGAGCACAGAGCAGATGGCCAGAGGAGGAAACGTGGGGGTTTCAGGTCTGAAACATCTTCCTAGTAAAAATCTATGAGTAACCTGCTTTAGTTAACATGACTTGTGAGACAAAAGAGAAAAAAGAAGAAAAGAGAAGGTATCAAAATAGTAGGGTATTTTAATTTTCAGATTATTGTAAATGTAAATCTCAGAACACTGCAAATCTCAGCATATGACTTTTAGCAACATTTATATCCATTTAACCATCAATTCATTTATTCAATAGAACTGTTGACTCCTTATTTTCAACCTACTGTATTGGGTACTCCATATACAAAGATGAATAAGAAACAGGTCTTGCCCCCTAGGAACAGTCTAGAGAGGGCAAAAGATATGTGAACACAAAGAGGTTTCTGTCCTTAGTATTTTTAAACTCTCCAACTATTATTAAGTCACCAGTATTCACCTTAAATAATGAAGCATTTTAATAAAATAACTGCGTATCTTTACTGTAAACCAGTCTTCTCAGGAAGTGCAAAATGAAATACAACGGTATAAATACTTTTGCGTAAGCTGAAAGAATGACATAAGGAACAATATTATTCACAAGGTACCATTTCTATTACGTAACAGAAAGGTGCTGGATATGTAGATGGAGGGAAACATCTCATTTTCTTGATCCAATAAAATCGATTTGGAAACTATTGATACTGAACCACACCACAAGACTCACTCAAAAGCTCTGTATTGTTTTACTTTTAAAGGAAAAATATTTGGTGAAGGCTAAGTTGGCATGCTGGGAGGAGTTGGAACAAGAGCATCATTGGCAGGCTGCATAATAATGAATTGGTTCCTACAGAAATGAAATTGCTACTGCTGTTTTTGCCATCTACAATTAAAAATGACAAGTATTGAGAACAGCGTCATTAAGAAGAGTCTGATTAGAGAAGTTTCCAAGCTTTAGGAATTGTTATTGGATGGTATCCTGGTTGGTATACGAAAGGCTTTTTTTAAGTCAGAAAAGTAGGAGCATCTAAAATAGAGCTATTTTAAATTCCTTAACTTAAGAACATAATCACAGGGATTTATGCATTATCAACAAGAATGCATAATTAAATAGAGGATAACATTTTACCGATGATAATTTCCGAACATCATAGATTGCTTAATTATAAATAATTTCATATCTATTTGTAACCAAAATGGCTTTTGAGAATTATTTGTATGATTTTTGTAAACAAATCACTGTCTTATTTTCTTATCATGAGCATGAAAAAAGTTTCTAATAGGCTTTTGTTTCAACCTGAGGGTGTATTCCCACCTATACCTCATGTAAGTTTTGAAACTTTATGAAAAATCATAATTCTTTCCCATTTTCAGAACTTAGAACATTTACTAGTTTTTAGAACGGTATTAGGTGCTACATTTTCACTTTGGGCTAAATAAGTGAACCTGAAGATCAAATGTTCAAATAAAATACGACAAGTGGGTGTTAAATAATGAAAAAGATATTCTTGTGGAGCTTTTCACAGAGAGATGATCCAGGCTGAACGTGTGTCCCCAGTGATGGTGAGAACCGTGGGACTGCTGCCTAACATCTGCAGGGTGTCATAAAAAGCCTCACTAAGGCGCATCGTTCCAAATGAATACCGTATGGGTCACTTGCAGGCTATGTTAAGTAAACAATAAAAAATTTAAAACAAACAGCCACAAAGACAGAGGAATGCTGAGGAAGGGAAGCAGATGAGTTATTTTGAAGAGACTCCTAACATGACTAATCCCTGCCAGGGGATAGCCTCTCAAGGTATATTGCAGCCAGTCCCTCCCATCTCTAAAGTAGGAACAAAAGAAGTGCAATCATCAAAACCATCGTGTTGACATACTTGAAGTGGAAAATTATCCAAATTATCTAATGTTGTAAGGGGAGGTTAGAATATGTAGTCTCTAAAGTCACTTTGAACTTGACAAGTATTTGAATCATTGTGTTATGCTACAATATCGTGTAGGGTTCACAAAATGTCCTAGCTCCTCTGGAGGTGTTTCTTTTCTTCCATGTAGGAAGAAAGCCAAATAGTCTTTCTCCCAGTGCCATCCTTTCTGAACAGATTTGGTGGTTCTTTAAGGTAGATTTGCCCATCATTTTGGGTAACATATGGGGTGCGTAAAAATGAATAGAGAATATTCAGTAGCTTATTTTAGGATCTACAGCAATTTGTATCCTAGAAATTAGAAAAGCTAATGATGACAAAATACACAGATGGATCCAAAGCAGTCAGGTTAAAAAAAAGTTTGGATTTGCACATGCTATTTCATTTCTAATTTCAGGACTGGTATTACAAACAAGCAATTTCCCCAGTGACCTTTCTCCTTTCTGCACTCCTGCCCGGGCCTTGGAACATGTTTTCTATCTTCACCAATATTCAGAGCTTTTCTTTGCCATACTTTGACTGTAGAGATTTTCTGCCCATTATCTTACCCTATGCTTTCCAAGGTATATAGCGACAAGCTAGTCAAGTAAACCTGGTCATTCTGATGAGCCTGTATACTGGCAACAGCAATAAGTATGTGTTTCAATCATATGTTTTTAATGCTGAAGTCTTCAGCCCAGAGAAAAAGGAGAGGGATTTTGAAGATCTCCAAGTAAGTATGACAATGTATAATTGTCTAAGCAAAATCCCTGCAAATGACAAGGTTCTGACATCCTTAGCTTAGTGAAAATTTTAATTAATTCATTTAATAAACATTCATAGAGTACCTACTCATAGAGTCACACAATGTCATAGTTTGGGGATACTGCCTTACCCAAAATAGGCAAAAATCCTGGCCGTTGCGGAGCTTAAAATCTAGTGAAGGTAACAGACAATAAACAAGACTTCTAAAAGCAGATAATCAACATATATGAAACTACATATAAACTTCACATACATTTGGACAGTAATTAAGAGATAAATTATGATGCTTGTAACTTTTTAAATCAATCTTTAATTAAAGGAATAAATACCCTCAATTCCATTTTCCCCTGTTTAACATTATTAGAAGCAGAGCAAGAGGAGCAAATGTTGGTAGTAAAACTCCAAGTGTTTAGAAAACATATCCCAGCATTTGAAGACATTAATTAATTAATTAATGCTATAGTTGTTCAGTACCAGCTACTATCTGCCAGGTTCTATGCTTGAGTTGAGCTATGGACATAGGGTGAATACGAGAAAAAAAAAATCCCAGGCCTCAAAGGAGATACTCATTGTTTTACTTTTAAAAGCCATTCATAAATCACATTATAGTGTTATTGAAGTGACCAGAGATATTTTCTTTCTTAAGAAAGATGGTGATTTTAAGGTGTGTCCATATTTCTTTGATACGACGTCATTTAGCCATTCAAGAGGTGGAGTCTAACTTCATTCCCATTGGGTGTGGCCTGGATCTAGTGACTCACTACTAATGGTGTGCAGCTTTAGAGAGTGGGTAATAAAGGGTACTGTGGCTTCCTGCTTGCACCTTGCTCTGTGTTAGATCATTTGCTCCATGGAAGCCAGCTGTCATGTAATGATGACACTCGAGCCATGATGAGAAACTGAGGCCTCCTGCCAACAGCCACAGGACTGACACAACTTGGGAGCAGATCCTCCAGCCCTGGTCAAGCTTTCAGATGGCTCTGGCCCCTGCTGACAGGTTAACTGCTCTCTAATGAGAGATTCTGAGCTAGAGCCAACTATCTAAGCTACTCCTAGATTCCCCACCCTCAGAACCAGTGTTGAAATGACCAATGTTTTTGTTTTAAGCTGCTAAATGTTGGGGTAATTTGTTACGCAGCAATAGATAATGAATGCAATCACTTTTTTTGGAAGATAGAGAAGGAATAGAACAACAGGAAATGCAATCAGTGTGTGTGTGCAGAGGGAGAGAGAGAAACATATAAAGATCAACCCACAGATAAAAACAGAGAGAGAGAATGGGGCTGGGAGAAGCAGGCACAACCCTTGCAGCATGCATATATTTTCTTTTCACATTATCACTGGAAGTTACAATCATCATTATGTGGCAACATTTTCTGTAGTTAATGAAAATTACTACATGGATTCCAAAGATAAGAAATAAGAGCGTGAAATTATTTGAAAGGTAAATGATGCCCTGTGTCTGCATAGTCACTGCATAAAAGTATTGATTCCAGGAAAGTCTCTTAGGAAGGGTCAATACAGTTAGCCCTTGAACAATGCTGGGCTTAGGGGGCACCAACCCTTCACATAGCCAAAAATCTGAGAATAAATTTTCATTCTCCAAATCTTAACTACTAATAGCCTACTGGTGACTGGAAGCCTTACCAATAACATAAACAGTCAATTAACACATATATTGTATGTTATATATACTTTATACTGTATTTTTACAATAAGGAAAGCTAGAGAAAAGAAAATATTATTAAGAGCATCATAAGGAAGAGAAAATATCTTTACTACTCATTAATAGGTAGTGGATCATCATAAAGGTCTTCATTCTCATTTTCTTCATGTGGCTGAGGAGCAGGAGGATGAGGAGGGGTTGGTCTTGTAGTCTCTCAAGGGTGGTGGCAGAGGTGGAGGAAGTGAAAGGGAGGCAGGAGAGGAAGGCATACTTGGCGGACTTTACTGAAATACATCATAATATCTGTTTTTTGGGTTTTTTTTTTTTTTGTTTTTTCATTTCTTTAAAACTTTTGTATAAAGTACCAATCTTCCTTCCACCATTTGCTTTAGTTTCATATCACATAAAGATCCATGTTGTAAAAGAAGTGAAAAGCAGCCTTGAATAATCAGAACCCTTCTGCTAGATTGTCTAATATCAACTTATTTTCTGGTACTGCTTCTTCTCTGTCTTTTTTTATTATCTGGCACTGGTTTGGAAGTGCTCATCTCCATCAAGTCCTCTTCTGTTAGTTTCTCTGGCATGGTGGCTATTAGCTATTGAATTTCTCCAAGATCTATATCTTGAAATGCTTTACCCTCCATCTTTTTTGCTATATCCATAATATCTTTCATCATTTCCTTGATTAGCTCTGTCATAAATTCCGTGAAGTCATGTACAACATCTGGGCACAGTTTTCTCCAGCAGGAATTTACTGTTTGAGGCTTGATGGCTCTCAGGATTTTTTCTATAACAATGATGGCATATTCAATGGTGTAATTCTTCCAAACCTTTATAATGTTCTCTCTATGGAGGTTCTCTTCCATATCATTGACAATCTTTACCATAGAGGACTATGTTTAATGAGCCTTAAAGGTCTTAATGACACCTGATCTAGAGACTGAATTACAGATGTTGTGTTTGGGGGCAAGTTGACCACTTTGACACCTTCGGTGTTGAACTTATGGGGTTCTGGGTGGCCAGCAACATTGTTCAATAAAAAAAGAACTTTAAAAGGCAGTCCCTTTTTGGCAAGGTACTTCCTGACTTTAGGGACAAAGCATCAGTGAAACCAATTCACAAAAGGGGTTCTCTTTGCTCAGGCATTATTGTTTACAAACAAAAGACTGTCAGCTGATGTTTTTCTTTTTCCTTCAAGGATCAGGGGTTAACTGCTTTATAGATAAGGGCAGTTCCAGTCATAACCCTGACTGCATTTGCGTGAAAAACTGGAGTTAGCCTATTCCTCCCTCCCTTAATTGCTGGAGCTCACTTCTCTTCCTTACCAGTAAATTTCTTTTGCGGCATTTCTTCGTTCCCAGACTAGGTCACTTTTGCCTGCATTAAAAACTTGTTCAGGCAGATATTGTTTCTTCTCAATGATTTTCTTAATGGAGTCTGGACACTGTTGCCACCTGGTCAACTGAAGCTGCTTCTCCTGTTATCTTGACATTTAAAATCTTTCTAAAATTATCGAACCATCCTTTGCTGGTATTAAATTCTTCAGCTTCAGATCTTTCACCTTCCTTTTGGTTTAGGTTGTCATACAATGTCTTCATTTTTTTCTCAAATCATATGTGAGTCAAAAGTATGCCTTTCTTATAATAACCCTGCACCCACATAAAGGCTGCATTTTCAGTACAAGATAAAAATGTATTTTGCAAAAAGTACAAGGTTTTCATGCCTGCTAGCATAACTGCAGTGACGGTTTCACATATTTCCTTTCTTTTTTTTTACAATCGTCCTTAAACTGTATTCATTTATCTTGAAATGATGGGAAATTGCAGCTGCAGGCCTCAAGCTATGGTATATATCATGCAAGTCAACTATTCCTTGTAATGTCATGACTTTTTTTCTGCTTCTTGGGAGCACTTTCAGCATTACTAGTGGCACTTCATGTAGGTCCCATGGTGTTAATCAAAGTTTACTGTATTGCACTAAACAAGAAAATAAACATGTGGGAACCCAGAGACATCACTTTTACCGTGGTACACAATTTACTGGAGAGACAAATTGCTCATGCAGATATAAATAGCATCAAAGAGTGTTTTTAGTGGATCTTTTAACACTGGAGCTCACTGCAATAGCAACAGGAGGTGGCTACACCATTATTACAGTATGTACTAAGGTGAATTTTATGCAGCTATTATTTAATACTGCATCTTTATGTTCGTTTACATTTCTTTGGATTGCAAATAGTACTATGCACAGACTGTATTTGTGCACATAAGTTTTGATATATTTTATGTTTTTCGAATGGGTTTGTGTATATTTTATGATAGTAAATGATAAAATAGACTAGTATGTATGTATACTTTTTACATTCATTACATACCTAACTTTATCTTAATTTTTTCTACATTTCTAGGCTACTCGAGTTCACCTGCAATGTTTTCCAAATTGCTACAATCTCCAAAAATGTTTTTCCATATATTTATTTTTTAAAAATCCAAGTATAAGTTAACCCACTTAGTTCAAACGCATGTTGTTCAAGGGTCAAATGTATTTTAAAAAGAAGAATAAATGAACAAATTAACATGGTTCTGTTGATCAGTTTACCTTGGGTTACCTGGTCGACAGAGAATGGACGGCACCATGAGTATACAACATCTGGGAAGGAGATAGGGACTGTGCCTGTGAATGAGATATAGCCTTGGAAGGGGCAGCCCACCTTGAGTAGCTCTAGTGTTGGGGGAGAGGGGCAGGTAGTGGACAATAAAGGGCAGAGTGAAGAGTCAGAAAAAAATAGCAGTATGTGATGGCAATAAACTTAAGCGTGAACAAAGTGCACACTCAAAAGGCTATTGCAAAATGCTTTTGAAATAAGTCAGATGCACATCAAAGTTTATACTTAACAAGCATTTATAACTAGAGGAGGAAAAGAAGCAACATTTTGATTTGATAAATATTTTTAAACGATAAAGAAAAGCCATTTCTCACGAGCCTGAATTACTCTCGTGGTCTATTTGCTTAGCTAAGCAGAAATTACTAATTATTCATTTTAATTTGTAAGGGTTTCCTTGATAAAAACAAAAAAGAAGTATGAAATATTTAATTTTTCAACAAGATTAATGGTACTGAAAAAGTTCTAGCCATCATGAGTGTCAGGATATACTTTTGAAGTTTTTTATCCTTATGAAAGAAAAAAAAATCCAAGGATGGAAATCACTATCCAAGTAAAATGAGCCTAAATTAGGAAATTTGGAAATATCCTTCATGCAACTTCTTAAATTTAAATATAGGAAGACTGGCTGGAACTTAAAATTCCTTATTTCTATGAGGGCGGGGTGGGGGTGGTAAGCCGTTACTGAGAAGGCTGGAATTAAAAGTAGAAAAAATGATTTTCCTTGGAAATGGTGATTTTTGTTTGAAATTGGATGAATAAAAATAACCTAAATATATTACGCTAAAAGCATAACAATGTGTGGATAAGTTTTCATGGATTATATACTTCATGTAAGTGTACCAACATGTAATTTACAAGACCTTTGAATGTACTAGGAATAGAAAGATGACACCACTCAAAAAGGTCATTAGAAATTACGCAGTGTTTAAATAAAGGGATTTCCTGGGTAAAAGAATATCACAGCAGAGAAAATTAGCCACTGAACACAGCATTTCAGAGATAAACAAGAAAGCATTCCTGGGAACCTGCAGTTTACATGAGTACTTGGACCCCCCTGACATGCAGTTTACCACACCCTGACCCAAGACTCACTGCCTGTCAACATGGCCCTCAAATTCATTGATATCATGACATCTTATTGGAAGAGTAATTTTTTTCTTAACACAGTTTGCTTTTCTATATTTTTACGTCAAATTTCCTTTCATGCATAGGCATATAGGCACATACATAACTTTAACAGTTTTGAGGGGATGCCCCTGTTAATTTCTTTATGAATCTTAACAGCACGTGATGTAAGGATGAGTTCCATAAACGCACTGTCAAAAAACTTTACGCCTGTATGCATTTTGTCTTTTTTTTTTTAAGTCTGATTTCTTTTCTCTTTTTAAATTCCAAATAGCCTTAAAACATAGAGTAAGACCAGCTAGGTTAGAGGTATTTTAGGCCTCAAGTGTCTCTGTTAAGTCTGAAAATAAGTCTAGCTGTGCAGAAAGAATCACATTAAGAGGATGTTTTCTGTTTATTTTGTAAGAATAAGGGCGTGAACTTTTATTTACAGGCTTATTCAAAATTTCCAATGCCCTTGAAATTCAAAAGGATAGATGTGTGTTAAAATACCCAGTGAAGAAATATCAAACAAGATATTAAAGAGACAAACTAGAAAATATTTCATAACTTCCATTTGATGGCTTTGCTGTATTAATCTGTATTATTTTAAAAAATAAGTTTTCCATTTTAAAGTATTTTAATTAATTTGCAGAAGTGTAAATTAAATTCTTCTCATGAAGGAGAAGCCTTTCATTTCACATTTCCATCATGAGTTTTAAATTAAAGTGTCCAAAATATTCTTATATGAGATAGATTCAAAGGTATTTAATTGATATGCCCTTTTTGCCACTATCTCCCAGGTATGAGGATCATGAGGGGGAGAGGAATACTCATCTTTCAACTACATAACTTTTAATTCATTAATGCAATGCAAAGTTGTGTTTTTTAAGTAATAGTTTTGTCTCATTCTTTTTCATGTATTTAAATATCATCTGTCTTTAAAGTGAGCACATGAAAACCGAGGTAAAAAATGAATGGTTCATTTTATCCTTTGCAGCCTCATTTCACTGAAGCCTGTTCCCTGTGCTGAGCCCCATGGTACACATATAAATTCACCTTTCAATCATTTGTGTGGGTTAATGACACTGAGTAATAGCACATTAGCAAAGTGCCATTCCAGACACCAGCCAGGCATGCCAAACAGATAATCTGACAATCGTTTCAGATTCATTTTCCTCAAACAGAAACACTGTTCAGGCTTATTAACTGGCAAATTTGCATAAGGCACAATGTAGAGCACAGAGCCTCCATTAAAAGTAGCAATCTGTCTCATTAATGTAATTTACAAGGATATTTGGCCCGTTCTATTGTTGTAAAATCTAAAAAAAAAAAAATGTGTTCCTGTTCAACAAAGCTGTCGTTTATTTGTAGCAAATTTTTATCATATCCCTTATGCTCCACTGAAATAAAAAGATCACAAATTAGTTAATAATGAAACTGTTACTCAAATATCTTATACCTTGCTCCCAACAGTACAGGGCATTTGGAATTTAACTCCTAATGTGTTCCTCAAAATCTAACCTCATGATACACTCACCCAAGGGTAATTCATGCCAACTCTTCTTTTGTGTTTTGACTTTCTACTCAAAAGTTTCATTACAACTTCCTCTTGGAATGTGTGATTAGGGACAATTATACTGAAAATATCTGCAACCTGATTTTAATCAATTGCTTAGATTTTGATTACAAAACCAAAGATACAATAGCTTAAGATTTCTGCCATATCTTCATCCATGGTAACCTGGGGTCCTGTTTTATTTTTACATCTGTGAATGGAAAGCTTAAGTTCCCACTTTGTAGTTAAGCAATCTGTTCTCTTTTTGTCTCTTGAGAGCTTGCTGCTTCTTTGTATTTTATGAACAATGTGTTGTATCCTTTTCTCTTTTTTGCTGAGAAATTTGCCTGCATTTATCTTTAGACTTTGTGATAAGAGCAAATTCCACTTAAAATTGATCTGTCCTTTACAATGGTTAAATTTTCTTTCATGTTGTCCTGATACAGGTATAATCCATGGTAAATTGAAGTGTGTTATTCTTAAGTATCTTATTTGCAAAAAGCCTATCATAAGATGAAGTTTTATTAGAGATGGTCACACACAGGCAGATTTTCAGTCAGTGACCTATGTGGAATTTAGTCAAGAAACATTAAGATCTCCACTCCTCTGTGCCATGTTCCAAGTCTAACACCACTTGCACTAAAAACTTCTACAGAGGGGAGATGGTAGCTATAAATGACTTAATTATGAGAGACCAGCACAGTTTCAGAAGGATGGAATTTTGGAAGAGAAGTGTTTGTTAGGATAATAGTTTCCACCTGATTTCAAGGTCCAAATCCCTGAGATAGATCACAGGGCCTTCTAACATTGGTAAGCTATAATCACAAAACATGTTTTTCTTCAGCCTTCAATTTTCTCTGTGTGGAGACAGTGATATTTCATATAATCAAATTCCTTGCTTATATCACCTAAACTTTCAATGATAAATTCTTCCTTCAATGATTCTATACTTGATATTTTCCTTTCATTCAGAAAGCATTAGTATTATTTTTTCCCATTTTGTCTATATTGCACAAAAATGTGATTGCATTTCTCAGAGCCAATTTGCCTTCTGTGACTGTCCCACTGCCACAAAGTTGAGATGGAATCAAACCAGGCTTGAGACATACACACACACGTGTGTGAGTTTTATTATACATTGTCATACATGTAATTTTTCTTATTTTTTGAGATGAAGTCTCACTCTGTCACACAGGCTGGAGTACAGTGGTGCAATCTCTGCTCACTGCAACCTCCACCTCCTGGGTTCAAGCGATTCTCCTGCCTCAGCCTCCCAAGTAGCTAGGATTACAGGCGCCTGCCAGCACCCCTGTCTAATTTTGTATTTTTAGTAGAGATGGGGTTTCACCATATTGTCCAGGCTGGTCTCGAACTCCTGACCTCAGGTGATCTACGCCTCGGCCTCCCAAAGTGCTAGGATTACAGGTGTGAGCCACTGTGCCTCGCCTATGGTACATATAATTTTAAAAGACACTGACTAACTTGTTAAAAACTAATACCTTTGGGACCAGATAATGTGGAAACAGAAATACAATTATATGCAAACAAAGAATAAAATAAACATAACGGAGAATAATAAAAACTTAGACATGCATGCATTATAATGTAGAGCTCTTTGAATTTTACAAATTGTAACCATTATTCATCCAGCACATAGATCAAGAAAGAGATTTTACCAGAATTCCAGAAGCCTGTCTTGTGCTGTCTTCCAGTCACTACTCACCACCCTATGCATAACCACTCTTCTGACTTCTAACACCACAGATGACTCTTTCCACAGTTTTAAGACTTTTTATGTTCACTTTACAGTGCCTTGGTATGAAATAAATATCAATTACCCTATACCATCAAGCACGTTTATATTGATCTTCTCCCCTTGCTTGCACCACTTCATCCCAGAGAGCCCACTTGCCAGAGCCTGCTATGTAGTCTAACAAGCAGCTCCATCTATGAGTGGTCCTAGGGTTCTACCTCCTGCTTCATTCACTTTTAGCTTAGGTCAAATGCCTCAACTTTCCCAATGATGAAGGGATAATCTAGTCTTAAATTAAGGGGTGTCTTTATACTCTCTCCTCTTGACTAAGATGATGAAAACCACTGGGGACCCCATGAAAGATCCACATTATTGAAGGGAACATGTGAGAACACGGAATCTGAATCCAAGACCCATTTTGGGTCTTACTTAATTCATTACTTGGGAAATTGGGAAATTGAAGTTGCTTCAATTTCCCAATTTACAAAGGGAGGGTAATAATAACACCCAATTTTTAAAGGGTTGCTGAGAGAATTCAATGATGGCGTATATTAAAAACAACCAGTGCTAATGACTCTTCAGTTGATGGATCCTCTCTCTTTGCTTCTGTCCTGTGACAGTCAGGAGAGAAAGACAGACAGATAGACAGACAGATGGATAGATAGATAGATATTTGAAATAGATATATATTCAAAATATAAAGTCAGAAGACATCCAGAATAAAAGATATTTTGCATGACCAGAACAATTAAGTCCATTGCCCCTTTAAACTCACAAAAAAGGGTTTTAAAAATAAGTTCTCCCATACTAAAACAAACAGCTACCCACCTGGGAAAACTTACTGCTAAACATCACATGTCAGCTTTTCCTATCTTTTAGCAAAATAATTTAAAAATAAATCTGTTTCTGGCATAAGCCTGAATAAAAACTATTACCAAATCATTCATTACCTAAATACACAAGCTGTCTAATGATAATCAGCAGGTCCTCGCTACATCTTATGACAATAAAGTGTTTTCAAAAGCTCACATAATTATGTCAGGCACACATTATGCTTACCTGCATTATTATAAAATATCAAGTACTGGTCAACATTCCCAGTTAGATAAGTAAATATTTTGGAATGAAGACCATATGATGAACTGTAATAACTTAACGGGCCCATTTTGTTCACTATGATTAATATTCACTCAAGTCAGTTTGTTCAACTCCTTACTTCAAATATATCATTTGATCTAACTCCATTTCTTGGCCTTTCCTTTTAAACACATCCTTTCTAGAATGAGAGAACTTCCCTCTGGGCTCATTGCAGATTGCTCCATTAATGAGCCCTATTTTCAGTGGTTAGTCATGCTCTCTCTCTTCAGATCTCTGATACATGGATTAGCTTCTCGGTAAATATTTCTGTTTGAAAGCAGTTGGCCTCCAGTCTTTGTAAAGTCTTAAAAAGCCTGGCATCTACCATCTCCACAGGGTACTTTGCAGTCATAAAAGGAATGTCACAGTTTGGGGATGACAGACTGAGCTATTTTTTTCTCCCCAGAAGGTGACAGTAGATTATAGATGAAATATTGCACAAATTACATAACCAAATAAAATATAACTTTTTAGAACTGGGGTGTCCTTTAGTTTTTTTCGGAGAAGACTTCCTTTGTCCCTATTACCTTTGCTAAATTTAAAAACACGAATTCATATTTTGTGATAGTTTCCAAAATATTGTTCGTTCTGTTCTGACACAGAATTTCAAATATTTCTGAAAAAACAATGCTGCTTTGAAGAAAGGCATGCAACTACTTCAAATAATAAAATTTATAGTTGTTTAGTATTAAATAATACATATTATTGCAGTAAGAATTTGTCCATTTTTTTTGCTTGTTTAAACTTCTTAACTCTATTAGGTGTATACTATTCTTACTCCCAGTTTACAGATAAGAAAACCAAGGCTAGCAGAGATTAAGTAATTCTTCAGTCACTCATGATTTTTAGCTCAGGTCTGAATGCCTCCAGGGTCTGTGCTCTTTTCCACAACCTTGTATGGGGAGAAAGAATCTCACACCAAATTCATTCATTTGGACATATCCAGAATCTGAATTATGATTGTTTGTGACTATGTGCATGAGTGTGCACGTTTACACACAAAAGACACAAATATGCGACAGAGACAGCAAGAGAAATGGAATGTTCATTTTAATGTAAATAAAAATGTCTAAAGATAACCATTAGGATGATTAAATTAGACTGCTTATATATATTGGGAAGGAGAAGATTTTGCCTACTGGCTATGACATATATTAGGTTCCCTCTTGAGGTCCTGTTTAGCCAAGTGATTTTCTTATTCCTTTTGTATCATATATATATATAGGCAGGCCACATTTTTGGAAATAAGATTACACGGTGAGGGTTAAACTATATGAAATGATCACAAAATGGATCAGAGGAAAGAAATTGCAACACTGAAGAGATTTCTGATTTCCAGGCCAAAGGCTCAAGTAATAATAACATATCTAAGAAAAAATGTCAGCCTAATGGGAAATTAATGTGGACTGGAGAAAGGGCCAGCTCTGTGAAACTGAAGTTGGTGGAGCCATTCTAAGCACTGTCTAAAGGGGAGGGGCACCATTGCCTCCCAGACAGAATTTTTCCTACATGAGATGGAGAGACAAAGTTGTTAGAGCTCAGCAGCTCTGGAACCTAAATTACTCTGATGTGCTCATCCCTGTCCATGTTCATTCACCCAGCAGCCTTATAAAAGGGTTGCCTAGTAGACAACATATTAGCCTTTGTTCAGCAAACTCCTGTTACATTTAAACTTTCCTACATCCACAATAATGATGTGCGTGTAAAAAGCAGGATTTTCATGAAGAGCCATCTAGACACAGATGCCTTTAGTTGTTGTCATACTTCAGAGCACAAACTTAAGTATAATAAGCACATACCTATACTTAAGAGGACAGGCTTTGGAGTTGGCTCACTTGGGTTGGAATTTCATCTCTAGTGTCACCCTAACCAAATGAGGTAGCCTGTCTCTGGGACCAATTAATAGTACCTACTTTACAGGTTGACATGCAAATTAAATAAGTTCATATATGTAAAGTGCTTCGAACAGTGCATGGTGCATAATAAGTACTCAACAAAATGTTATGAATATTGTTATTATCAATATTATTACTAGGTTTTTTAGCTCACTCCTACCACTCCCAAAACCCAATACCAAATTTGAACAAGTCTTTATTAGTCCTTACACCCACTCTTAATTGACAATCTCCTCTTCATTTTTATTTTTGCTTCTCAAGCTCCTACCACCACCCTATCCATTATGGATAGCATCAGTTTTTTTACTCTAGTAATCCTTGCCAGTAAAGGCTGAACCTTCTGTGTGCCTCGGTTGTCTCTAAGCTCCATGATTGACAGGACAAGAATAAGGACAAGGATTGGGGTTTTTCATTTTTCTTGTTTTCAGCTGCCACTTTCTCCAAGACTACTCAACAATCTCTCAATCTCTACCTGACATTTGCTTTGCATATCAGCTAATGAGATTCTAAACGTTCTTCCACCGATTTCGATGGTTCAGGGCTGCTTCAAATTCACCATATATCTCTCTTGTTATCTTTAGGAACAGTAGTATGATGTTGATGCCCCTTTCAATATCTGAGTGGTTATTTCTATTCCACACCCTTGTTGTAAATGACACTGATGTGTATGTATCCCCACAAGCAATTCAGTTAGCCTAGAGTGACTCTTCTTTAATCAATCTGCATTTTATTATTTTGTTTTTTAACTCTGTCAATAGTAGATACAATTGACTCTAATGTCCAAAATCCAGGTTATAGTTTATTTGAACACTGATATAGTTTGAATATCTATCCCTTTCAAATCTCATATGAAAATTTGATCCCCAGTGTTGGAGGTGGGCCCTAGTGGCGGGTATATGGGTCATGGGAGTGGATCTCTCATCAATGGCTTGATGCCTTTATCATGGTAATCAGCAAGTTCTCGCTCCATTAGTTCGTGTGAGAACTGATTGTTAAAAGGAACCTGGCACCTTCCTGCTTTCTCTCCTATTCCCCCTCTCATCATGTGACACACTGGCTCTCCTCGCCTTCCGCTACTAGTAAAAGCTTCCTGAAGCCTCACCAGAAGCTGAGAAGATGTACGATCTCCAGAACCATGAGCCAAATAAATCTCTTTTCTTATAAATTACCCAGCCTCAGGTACTCCTTTATGGAAAAACAAAGCAGACTAACACAAGCATCTACCTTTAGAAATTGCATGCCTACCTGCTCTATTCTTATGTTGACTTGTATAAAGAGTTATATGAATTTTCATTGTCCAGATTTGTCTTGATTTCAAATATTATATTCCATTAACTTTATATGTACATTCTTCCTCACTGTGTGTCTCTATTTTTGATTAAAAACTGTGATCACCGTTTCTATGTGGGCTTAGGTGATATGGAATTTTAGACCATTGGATAGATCCCTGGGCATGTGATTAAAAATCATGCCAGAAGCAAGAGATATGTTTCCTTAGATGATACTGCTATGCACCCAGGATTGAGATCTTGTAGTATAAACCACAACAGTGGGTAGAAATTGGGTTATTATTTGAGTAGACAGTTTATTCCTCTCAGTTAACTAAATGAATATCTGAAACATACAAAGGTTCTGAAACTGACAACTATAGTACCCAGTGGAAGATCCAAAAATGGCGAATGAACCATCTTTCGCAGAAAGAAAATCCTCATAATCATAAGGAATAGCTTAGTTTATAAGATACCCAAGATAGTGAACATATATTTTTTAACCAGAAAACCAATCCCCATAAAAAAAGGAATTTATTTTTCATGAATACAATAGTTAATTTTATGTGTCAACTTGACTGGACCATGGAGTGCCCAGATATTTCATTAAATGTTATTACTGACATATCTGTAAGGGTGTTCTGGATGAGATTGACATGGGAATCAATGGACCGAGTAAACTATATTGTCTTTTCCATAGAGAACGGGCCTCATCTAATCTGTTGAAGGACTGAATAGAACAAAAAGGCTGAGTAACAGAAAATTCTGTCTCTTTCCTGGAATGTCTTTGAGCTGGGACATTAGTTCTGCCACTGGATTCTGACATGGACTTAGACTGGAAATTACACCTCGGGCCTGTGTCTTGGAACCTAGACTGGAACTATGCCATCAGCACTTCCAGGTCTTCAACTTGCTTACTGGAAATTTTGGGACTTCTCAGTCTCTATAACTGTCTGAGCCAATTCCTTATAATAAATAAATAAATGTGTGTATGTATGTACATATATATGTATACACAAGTATACATGTATATATACATTCATAATGTATATAATGCATATATATTTATAATCATATACATATATGTGTTTGTGTGTGTATATATAGATAGCCTATTGGCTCTGGTTCTCTGGAGAAAGATGACTAATAGGGCTTTAGTTTATGACTTCTGCAATACTTAATAGTTTAGGAAAGAGTTGTCTAAAAATACTAGTTGTCATGTCCTCAGAAATGAGCAATAAATGCTACCATTTTCATGTATACATAATAGAATCTTGTGAAGAATTTTCTCAAAGACCACCCTATGTCATTTTCTACCATTATACACAGCCTACTTATTACACCTCAGATAAAAACAAAAAAGGAGCATATTAAGATGATCACAATGGAATTCGCTGCAACAGAAGCAGCTCTCACAAGTTAGCCCTTGATAAGAATCCAGCAGCACATCAAAAAGCTTATCCACCATGATCAAGTGGGCTTCATCCCTGGGATGCAAGCCTGGTTCAATGTACGCAAATCAATAAATGTAATCCAGCATATAAACAAAACAAAAGAAAAAAACCACATGATTATCTCAATAGATGCAGAAAAGGCCTTTGACAAAATTCAACAACCATTCATGCTAAAAACTCTCAATAAATTAGGTATTGATGGGACGTATCTCAAAATAATAAGAGCTATCTATGACAAACCCACAGCCAATATCACACTGAATGGGCAAAAACTGGAAGCATTCCCTTTGAAAACTGGCACAAGACAGGGATGCCCTCTCTCACCACTCCTATTCAACATAGTGTTGGAAGTTCTGGCCAGGGCAATTAGGCAGGAGAAGGAAATAAAGGGTATTCAATTAGGAAAAGAGGAAGTCAAATTGTCCCTGTTTGCAGATGACATGATTGTATATCTAGAAAACCCCATTGTCTCAGCCCAAAATCTCCTTAAGCTGATAAGAAACTTCAGCAAAGTCTCAGGATACAAAATCAATGTACAAAAATCACAAGCATTCTTATACACCAATAACAGACAAACAGAGAGCCAAATCATGAGTGAGCTCCCATTCACAATTGCTTCAAAGAGAATAAAATACTTAGGAATCCAACTTAAAAGGGATGTGAAGGACCTCTTCAAGGAGAACTACAAACCACTGCTCAACGAAATAAAAGAGGATACAAACAAATGGAACAACATTCCATGCTCATGGGTAGGAAGAATCAATATCGTGAAAATGGCCATACTGCCCAAGGTAATCTATAGATTCAATGCCATCCCCATCAAGCTACCAATGACTTTCTTCACAGAATTGGAAAAAACTACTTTAAAGTTCATATGGAACCAAAAAAGAGCCCACATCGCCAAGTCAATCCTAAGCCAAAAGAACAAAACTGGAGGCATCACTCTACCTGACTTCAAACTATCTACAAGGCTACAGTAACCAAAACAGCATGGTACTGGTACCAAAACAGAGATATAGACCAATGGAACAGAACAGAGCCCTCAGAAATAACGCCGCATATCTACAGCTATCTGATCTTTGACGAACCTGAGAAAAACAAGCAATGGGGAAAGGATTCCCTATTTAATAAATAGTGCTGGGAAAACTGGCTAGCCATATGTAGAAAGCTGAAAGTGGATCCCTTCCTTACATCTTATACAAAAATTAATTCAAGATGGATTAAAGACTTCAATGTTAAACCTAAAACCATAAAAACCCTAGAAGAAAACCTAGGCATTACCATTCAGGACATAGGCATGGGCAAGGACTTCATGTATAAAACACCAAAAGCAATGGCAACAAAAGCCAAAATTGACAAATGGGATCTAATTAAACTAAAGAGCTTCTGCACAGCAAAGAAACTACCATCAGAGTGAACAGGCAACCTACAAAATGGAAGAAAATTTTTGCAACCTACTCATCTGACAAAGGGCTAATATCCAGAATCTACAATGAACTCAAACAAATTTACAAGAAAAAAACAAACAAACCCATCAAAAAGTGGGCGAAGGACATGAACAGACACTTCTCAAAAGAAGACATTTATGCAGCCAAAAGACACATGAAAAAATGCTCACCATCACTGGCCATCAGAGAAATGCAAATCAAAACCACAATGAGATACCATCTCACACCAGTTAGAATGGCAGTCATTAAAAAGTCAGGAAACAACAGGTGCTGGAGAGGATATGGAGAAATAGGAACACTTTTATACTGTTGGTGGGACTGTAAACTAGTTCAACCATTGTGGAAGTCAGTGTGGCGATTCCTCAGGGATCTAGAACTAGAAATACCATTTGACCCAGCCATCCCATTACTGGGTATATACCCAAAGGACTATAAATCATGCTGCTATAAAGACACATGCACACGTATGTTTATTGCTGCACTATTCACAATAGCAAAGACTTGGAACCAACCCAAATGTCCAACAATGATAGACTGGATTAAGAAAATGTGGCACATATACACCATGGAATACTATGCAGCCATAAAAAATGATGAGTTCATGTCCTTTGTAGGGACATGGATGAAATTGGAAATCATCATTCTCAGTAAACTATCGCAAGGACAAAAAACCAAACACCGCGTGTTCTCACTCATAGATGGGAATTGAACAATGAGAACACATGGACACAGGAAGGGGAACATCACACTCGGGGGACTGTTGTGGGGTGGGCGGAGGGGGGAGGGATAGCATTAGGAGATATACCTAATGCTAAATGACGAGTTAATGGGTGCAGCACACCAGCATGGCACATGTATACATATGTAACTAACCTGCACATTGTGCACATGTACCCTAAAACTTAAAGTATAATAATAATAATAATAATAATAATAATAATAATAATAAAAACACATGCAGTAATAAAAAAAAAAAGTACCAGCCCATGACTACCTTGTTTTCAAGACCTTCTGCTAATCGTATATGCCTGGGTTTTGGCTCTGGTATATTAGACTGCCCACTGGCAAGGAACTCAAGTTCCATTCAGGCATAAAAATCCTCAGTCTCACACCAGCAAATAATTCACCCAGACTCCCTTCTGTCTTTCCTTCTTTGACAGTTCACCTCCTGTCAAGTGAACTTAAAAGGGTATTAATATTCTTCCTTTTGCGACTATTAAAGTCAGATCAGCACTTTTTATGTTATCTTTAACTCTTTCTCTTTATTTTGTAAATATTCACCCCTTTACTAATAGAAATGTGTACATATATAATAACGTGTATATATTTTCATCTGCTTTTCATGTTAATAATGAGTCTGCCCACTAGAAATCTTAAATGTACTACAATTTTTGTATATAAAATGGCATTCTGATAAGCTTTTCTCACTTCAAAAATCAAATACAATCCCATCCTAAGAATGAATTTAGTAAGGCTGAGAAACAGACCCTTTTATGGTTCTATATTGTATTCTCATTAATTCAATTTGACTCAGAAGCCATCCTTACAATCACCCCAAATCAGGCCTCTGCTGACCTGAAGGGTTCCCTCTCCTTGATAACATCTCTTAATAGAGTAGCTGTTCCCCAGGTTTGGCTGTAATCTCTTATTTTTACTGTTTTCAACCTGGATCCCATTAAGCAGGACAAGTCCCTCTACGACTAATTTTTGTGATGGCCTCAAGAAACAAGGGAAAAAAGAAAGTAAGTTCCTCCAGTTCTTGAGGAATACGATAGGACAAACAAGTTAACTACACAGAGGAAATGGGATTCACAATACAGTTTTTAGGGCATTTCATTCATTCATTCATATTCTAATATGTCAGGCACCATTCTAGGCATTAGGGTTTAAATGGTGAATTTAAGAGTCCTTGCACTTTTGAGGTCACATTCCAGTAGGAAGAGACAAACAATCAACAAAAATATTAAAAAAACCATATTGGTTAGAATATCAGAGTGGTGAGTGCTATGGAGAGAAATAAAATGGGTAATGAGGAAGGGCTTCTCTATTAAGCAGACCTACAGGAAGTCAGGGAATGAGCCACATGGGTGGGTGTATATTTGACTTTGTGCTTCATAATAAGGACACTGGTTTTTCCTCTGAGTGAAAAATGCATCCATTCAAAGATTTTGAGCAAAGGAGTGATATGACCTAACACATTAAAATGACCATTTTTGGCTGCCCCATTGAGACTTTCTTGTAGCAAGGAAGGAATTTGGATTTTCCAAACCAGTGTGAGAGATATTATGAATGCCCAGTAGTATCCTGTTCCCATTTCTGCCTGGGCTCACGAGCAGGTATGCTTCCCAACCACTGTGTAGATGGGGTTGAGGCAACATGACTGGTGTTGGGTGACAACCTGTGGGCATTAGTGACATGTGTCTCTTCTATACTGAGGCTACAAGATTCTCCGGTCTCTTTCTTCCCTGCTGCTTCAACTGGTGACCTTATACATGGTTCAGCCTCTGTCAGACTGGATCCCTGAGTGACAATAAGAAGCTCCTCTAGTATCCTTACCCATGCAAACATAAAGTAGACATTTGTGAAGAAGATGCATAATATTTTGGTGTTAAGCCACTGAGGTTTGGAGAGTTCAGAGTTAACTGCTGCTAAAGCCTAGCCTGTTCCGAAGAAATCAACTAAATGGGAAGCTAGTACAGTAACTCAGTTCTGAGATGACAGTGGCTTGGACCAAGGTTAAAGTAGTGAAGGTGAGATTCTGGATAAGTTTTGAAGGTAAAGTCAAATCATTTGACCTATTCATGTTATTTTTATAGGAAATTATTTTTGAACCTGTAAACACTTCATAAATTTGTATCCTTGGTTAAAACAATGCTTAAAATGACAAATATAATCTATCCAAGCATATATAAACTCTTTGGGCTTATGTAACATAATTACTATAAGTGGTCTCAAAAACAAATTCAGTGATGAATATCTGCCATTTATATTCTGCCTTTCTTTCTTTAGTAATGTAATATCTTTTGAAAAAATATAAATTTCCATATAGTGGAAATTGGTATCATATTCATTATGTGTTCTGGCAACAATTTCTAATAAGAAGACATGTAATTTTTTAAACTCACTGAACTAAACTGCCTTGGGAATTACCAGATATCTTATGCTAAGACAGAATATGACAGTCTGTACTATTTTAATGATACTAAATGAGTTGTGCTTCAAGTTGTCCCAAATGTTAAAGATGTGCCTAAATTGAAATACCACAAGCTATTTATTTAGGAAACGTGTAGTAAAGAGAAAATGATCTGTAAGAACTTGTTGTAGGCACTTGAATCATCATCAAAGGAAGAAATTCTTCATCTTTCTAAGGTCAAATCTTTATGTAAACCACTTTATAGTGTTTTTAAGAGCATGATATGTAAGAACCTTCATGTGGCACCAAAGGAAACTAACATTAACACCACAAATTAGTCGAACACCTTATATTTGCTCTGTGCATTTAACAATATAAGCACTTGAAAACTGAATGATGATGATATGTCCCTGAATTACTACAGTCAGATATAAATTATATCTTGATATTAGTTATCATTCTTAAAGGTGAAAAGAGAAAGATAAGTTGTTTTGATCAAAGTTTGTCATTTTTTCCTATAATTTATTTGTCATTAGATCCAGCTATAGTTTTAAAATGGTCAAGCCTATCAGGTAGGGTTCTATAAACTACATTTATGCTCTACTCAGATCGTCACTTTTATGAGTATTAATAGTAACACAGTATCCACAGGTCCAACCACGCATTTAATTATACAACTTTCCAATATCTTTTCCATTAAGAATTAAGAACCCTGCGATCATCAAAAAAAGTTGCATGACATAAAATGATTTTATAAATTTATGTTGGAAATGAACCATAAAAATATTTTTCTGAAAAATATTAGGTTACTTAAGAGGCAACCTTTGGCTCAAATAATTTATATGATTTAATCAGCTTTGATTAAAAAACCAGGCTTATCTTTTTAGTTTCTGATTTGTTCAAGGTTAAAAGTCAAATATACATAAAATAAAACATATATTTTTAGAATTTATGACCATTACAGAAATTATTATTATATTAATCTTAAGGCACAAAACATTTCTGAAGTTACTGCATGTTCATCACTGAGAATATTGAAGTCATAATATCCCCTTTGACTAAGACTTAGATTATATGTATGCATCACTTTCTGGGCTATTGTTTCCTAATGTATAAATATAGGCCTTCACCATCCACAATCCCTTCACTTTCTAAAATTCTTTGACTCCAAATCATTGCTGTGTTGATACTCTGGCATCTCTTCTTGACATTTCTACTGTCACTGACATAGTTCAGGTTCTCATTATCCTACACTTGACACACTGGTTTCCCAAGTATATGGTGTCCATATTTATACTATCCATTATCCTACACTTAACACGCTGATCTCCCAAGAATGGGTGTCCATATCTCCAGTCTGGCCTTATTCCCAACAGCCTCCAAACTGCTACCAGAGTTATTATTCCAAAATGCAAATCTGATGGCTTGAGTTACCCTCTGATGAAAATGTTTTAAATGTATTTCTTCTTCCAGAAAAACATCCTGAATCCCATCATTTGATTTTGATGCTTCTCCACCAAGACCCTGGCACCCAGAGCATTTCTCTTTTATAGAACTTATCACAATGTACTATGAAAATTGATATACTGCTACATGCTATGGTTTGAATGTGTCCCACCAAAAAACCATTTGCTGGAAACTTAATCTCCAATGCAATGGTTGGGAGGTGAAGCCTAATGGGAGGTATTTAGGTCATCAGGGCTCCATTCTCATGAATGGATCAAGGCCAATTATAAAAGGGCTTGAGACCACACATTCATATCTTGCTCTTTCTCGCTCACTCTTTGGCCTTTTCCCATGGAATGATGCAGCAAGAAGGCCCTCATCAGATGCTGGCCCCTGGATCTTAGACTTCCCAACCTCCAGAACCATGAGGCAATAAATTCATGTTCACTATAAATTACCCATTCTGTGGTATTCTGTTATAGCAGCAGAGACTAAAACACCATCTTTCCCTCTAGTCTCCTTGAGGATAAATAGAACATTTGATTTGGGATCCTTGGTGTCTAGCACATTGCTTTGTAGCTCACAATGAACAGTACATGCTTGTTGAATAAACAAAGGAGTGCATAAATAGTTATCTCTAATACCTGAATGTGAGGTTTTATTAAAGGATGGAGGTAGCATATTCTCTAAGGCTCTATAAATATTTATGCCCAGTTGAAAATATGCTCATAAATTTCTAGCACCTATTTTGCCACAAGAGATACAGAAGGGAAATAAACATTAACTCTATGGTATACTTTTTAATACTCATACTATAAAATCATCAATCAAAATAAAACTGCTTTTTGCCTAATTCATTTTATTTAGACTGTTTTGATTTATGATCTGGTTAAATGTGCTGTGTATTGACTTACACTACTATAAATACTTATGTGCCACCAAAAAGTTTTTCATTTTGAGCAAGAAACTACAAATGTGAAGTTATTAGAGAACTCTCTCCTACCACATCCTAGTTATTATAAATAGAATCTAAATTTGGGGTCTAAATTAAGAAAATACACGTAAGTTTCATACAGCATAATTTAGAACAGGAAGTTACTCTGGTAACCATATAGGTAAGTTGGCAAGCAGCAAGTCAAACTATAGCCTTAGTTTCTTATAAGGAAATAGAAAGTATACTTTATGACCTTGCATTCCTTATCGATTAACTCCTTCCTCCTGGGCTATAGTATCAAAATTTTAGGCTCGTCTTTTTAATTTAAGTAGACTGTTTACAAGAAGGTTGAAGAGAATTTTAGTAAATCCCATCCCATTGTCTTCAAAACTTTTCGGATGTTTTGTATAGGACTAACGATAGTGATAACCTTTCACCTTCCTTTGGTTAACACACTGGTCCAATCAACAAAGCAATTTAGTCCCATTCAGTCAAACTACGGTAAGCCCAAATGACATTTTAAACAGTCTCTATCCTGGAAATATTCTGAAAATAACCATTGAGTCAATAGCAGGAATACTGATATTAAGGTTATTTATTTTATGTAAATTCTTTGAATATAAGTAGATACATAAAATCTGAAAGTGCTATGTACACAATATACTGACAATATTATTCATAACAACAATTAAACAGAAATATTTTCTAAGAAGGATTTGCATGAATTTACTTGATATAAATGCAAAAGAAAAAAGAAAAACGAATTACACTTTATATCCTCCTTGACAGCAATAGTCCAGCTCTCCGTAGCTTTTTAAAGCAGATTTTCAACTAAAATTTCCTTAAGATAAAACAAAGCAGTACTTCCATAGCTTCTGAGAACTGGTTCTTTAACAGGCACACTCAACATGTTTTAAGTATTTTAATATCAGTTCTTTGGTATCTGTAATTTCTTAAGAACCAATACTCTATTATACATGATTTAAGGAGAAAAATGCACACTCAGGCAAATTCTACCATTAACAACAGGAACTCGTAATACAGATTAATGGTAGCACATGCCCCTTAGTGGTTAATATAACATTTCCAAAAGCTTTATGTTAACTGCCGTAATGTGCTGAAACTTTGGGACCATCTGAGAATAGTTCTATTCGCAGCCTCAGGAGGAGGCAAAAATTGTTAGCATAGAATATTTCAAATATTTAGATAACTTTAGATAAAAATAATGTTAGATAAAGTAGCAGCTCACTCTCACACAACTATGCGTGCTCTCTAGCTTTGGGCTGTATCCTCAGAAAACATAAGATCAGTTCAAAAAATAAGAATTTGACTAAACCATCCAATTTGGCATGTATTTATTCTCTGCTATGTTAAATTGTGTTATGCACCAAGGGGATGAGGGTATCATGACTTAATAAAAATGAGTATATTCCAAAAGAAGACAGGACTAAAGGAAGGGAAGAGGGGAGGCAGGGAGAGAGGGAGGCAGGAAAGGGGGAGGGGGAGAGGAGGAGGGAGGGAGGAGGGAAGGAAGAAAGAAGGAAGGAAGGAAGGAAGGAAAAATAAGAATATATGTTATAAGATTTCAGACATGACGATAGGGTGACACAAAACAAATGCCTGTAAGAAAGGACATGTTCAATTTCTGAGGTTGGGACACTGCAAACAGGAACCAAAGGCCCTAAGTTGGAAAGCACATGGGGATTTTTAAGGAACAGAATTAAGGCCAGTGGAACTCAGTGATAGTGATTGCGGCAGAAGATGTGACCTGGGAGGCAGAGAGAAGTGGGATGATACAAGGCATTGCAGGCCACGATGAAGAGTAATTTTTTAATTTTATTCTGAGGATAGAGATGAGGTATTAGAAGATCACATGGTAGAAAGTCACTGACCTACTATAGATGTTAAAAGCCCATCCTCACTGTCTGGGGCAGAATGTGTTTTGGATGGGCAAGAGTTGAAGCAAGAAACAGTTAGATTACTGCCATATTATAGATGTGAGAGTCCTGCCCTGGAAGGGAGCAGAGAGATGGAGAGATGTATGTGTGGGAGACTGTTAGTAGATGGATTCTACATATGCCGTGAAATCAGTCTCAGGACATGTTGATAACTGGAGTACACAGTGAGAAGCTGACGAATGGAATGGGATGCAGAGGAGGAATTTTGGGGTAACGGAAGAAGGGGGAGAAACAACTTTTGTTTTATGGATAGGTTGTATGTGAGGAGCCTGTTTCAAGTGGAGACATTAACTATGCAGATGAGTGTATGATTCTGGATTTCAAGTGGAAAGTTAGGGCTGGAACTGTGAATTTAGGAGTCATTAGCATATAAGTCAAATTTCAGTCCATGGAACTTAATGAGATTACCTAAGAAGGATAATCAGAACCATGGCACACAACTGGGGAAAATACATGTGTACACAGAGAAGAGAAGGGGACCCCAGATGGAGTCCTGAGGCCTGGACACTTAACAGTTGTGGAGAAGAGGAAGAGCCAGGAAAGGAGAAAGAGACGGACAGATCTGAGAGGAAGAGAGGCAAAAGGGAAGCGGAACACGATTTCATGGCAATCAAGAGATGCACTTCCAGAAGATGGAAGGGGTCACATTGGCCAAAATCAAATATAGCAAGTTATCACAAGTCCTTAGAGAAATCACTGAAAGAAAAAAAGGCATTAAAAAGTGACAACTCTAAAAAGTTTGAACTTTTCAAGACAGTTCTGCCAATAAACCTAAAGTTCATAGTAAAATAAGCATTCAGTCACATTTTATTGCTTAGCTGCTCCCATTGTGAACTTTTAATTAATATATAAAAAACCCCTATGTTAATTTATTCTAATCACTATAAAATAATTAACATCTTGACTATGTCTCAGATTCTGCATGTATATATCTATGAAATAAGGCATAAGTAACACACATAATAGATTCATCTGCATTTTAGTGAGTTACCTTATTGCTTCAGTAAAATATTACTAAAAGATCAGCATAACCACAAATATAAATGGAAAAAAATTATCATTCAGTAGTTCTCTCTCAATAATCCTCCTGCTAAGAATAAAATTTTGTTTCTGAATACATTTAACTCTTTAGTCACATTGATTAAGGGAACATCTAAAGATAGGCCGTTAACTCTGAAGTTTTTCACTTGTGCTAAAGGACAAACAGTAAAGTACTTTAAAAGGTATAATATGCTGTAACAAATGATTTAAAAATTGAACAATTTATCAAATAATTTATCAAGTTATTATATAGCCAGGCAGGTCTCGTTTCATTGTACTAGGTCAAGTTTAGAATATAATTGATTTCTTTAATTCTATATAGTTCCTGTTTTCTGCTAGACAGAGAGAACTTCTGGTAGGGAATGTTTTTATCTAGTGTAATGCCTTGCACATGGAACAGAGTAGGCGCTTAATACATGTCTGTTGAATGAACAAATCAATGGGAAGGTGGTAGCAGAAAAGTAAGATGAGGGGGATCACAAAATTGCCCCCTTCTAAAATAAAATATTTGCAAACAAAACTTTTTCAATGACGGGCCAAAAAAGTGGGTATATATGAGAACTTTGCATGACACAAGTAAGAAAATGTGAACATAGTAAATTGTTTAACTAGAGGCTGACAAAATAATTACAGGCACAAATGGAAAATCGCCTCAATATAGTGCTGTATTGCTATTTTAAAGATAGAAAAGAAACAATATTTTGTAAAAGTGATCATATTCACTTATTGATAGAAAGAAATGTAGAATTTAGGATAAGAAACATTTGGTGTTAGGCAAAGAGACTAAACAAAAGTTATTTTAATGAACATTTTAAAGACTTACATATGGAAAAACTGCCCATCTATATATAGACAAGTCAGTAAAATAGCCATTCAGTTTTCTTGGATAATTCATTCTGCTTACTGTGCAGTTAGTTGTTACTTGGAGAGGAATCCACTGGACAGTCACAAGGAACAGATATCCAAATCCTGATTCCTTCACCCGCTAGTGAACCCACTTAGGGTTACAAATGCTAGTAATTACCACATCAGATAGTTCCAGAAATCAGATGAGACAATGTATTTGAAAATTATGAAGCAATAGTAAAATTATAACTATCAATTATAAAGCAATAGTAAAATATGTTGTGTTCCAAATAAAATGATGATTTTATTTCTGCATTGTGTTTATTTATTTTTTACTAAGGCATTCTTGAGTCATTTACTGATTTGTTCTATTCTCAAACAGAAAATTCCATTTAAATATCAATATGTGTCCAAACTCTATAATGTCGCTGTCACTGACATTGTTTGGGAGCATCAAGGACAGCCAGACCATTTTGGCTTATATCAAAATGTATGTGTAAAACATGGGAAATATACTGAAATTCTTGAAGTGTGGTGTGTTAGTTATCTAATTACTATTTATTGTGCAAAATGTTACAAGAAAGCTTGCTTTGTCTGTGTGTGTGAGGGTGTGTGTGTAGTTGTGAGGAAAAGAAATAGGGAGATGGATGATAAAAATAAATCTCTAATATAAAATAGGCTATATTTCCTATGCTATTTAAATAGCAATGTATAGTTTGGGGAAGGAATTATAGGTTTATTTTATGAATAGCTACACTATCTTAATTAATTTATTGTTTTCTTGCCCCGAGTAGCCAAGATTATGATAGCTCATAACTCTTTATATGTGTTTGCTTCTATCATGCTACTTCCGCCATTTATTGTTAATTTCTTTAAAAATTAGAATGTGCTTAGCGTTTTGTCGTATCAATTTTTGAATATGTTTCTGCTTCCTGTTAAAATTAACATGGAATAATCTTAGCAGAAAGCATCCAGTTACTAAGCTGCTCTCTTGCAGCCTTAGAAGACTGAATTATTATCTGTCCTTTGTTTTTATGATAACCACGCATAAAATATATACTAGATAGCTTAAAGGTTTATCTTTATGTTACCTTATGCATTAATGCTTTTAGCTGTGTTTAAGATTTAAAAGTATATTTTATTCAAGGTCCAAAAGGAAAATGTAATAATTCCACACAAAAATTCACGTTATCACACACACAAAAATCTTGACTTCACCTTTAATGGAGATTAAGTTACTAATGGAGAGGCCTGCTGTGATGAACTTTACTCTTACTCTGAGAGAAATCCATTATCTAATGAGATCAGAAGAGCAAATTCTTTCAAATGCAGTGTTTAACTAAACAGAAAAAACTTTTGAAATAATTGTGATTTTTTGCTTTATTTGATGTCATTTTCACCTAGGTATTAATCAGAGGAGTTATCCAAAGATTCCTATTTGTTAATATTTGGATAGCTAGGCATATATTGAGTAGTAAATAACATTTCTTTAAAATTTATAGACAATTCTGATTTTGACTGATTCAGACTACCCTTTTAAACTACAGAAAAGCTAAAAAATATTTATTAAACACCGATTATATGTCGGGATTCATGTTGTAGAGCACTCAACATATGACATATTTAGAGGCAGCTTTAACGGTAACCAACATTATTATAAATAATGTAAGCTTAATTCCAAATTAAAATAAAGATTATGAATGCAATAATAAATTCAGGTAAATGTGAAATGACCATGGGCTGCAGCTATTAGGGATGAGATGTTCCGGGAGCTAGAATCTGAAGTCATAATGGAATGGAAAGGAGTTATAAGGAATTCCAGGCCAGAAATAAGGATATAGCTTTGAATTAGGAAGTCAAGAGACCTCTTTGGAAAACTGGGAGCACAACAATCCAATTACAATGCGGAATTCATGGTTGGAAAGATGGCAGGAAATATGGTCAGGAACAGACTTTTAAACACTGAATTGCGAACCGAAGTTTTATTGTGTACACTCTATTTTTAAAGAGAATTTTCTGAATATTTTTATCCAACAATACACTTTTTAGTCAGTGGATGGAAACACTAGATGGTGAGCTTTATTAAACTTTAACAATTTTTTTTAATCTGGGAAAAAATGGTACTACAAAACACACACTAAGTTTTAAAAAAAATTTCTTTCAAATTTTCTTTCCTTCAAATTTAAGTGTGCTTAAGTACTCATTTCTAACTGTGTACTGTGGGGCAAAAGTTGTCTAGGTTTTTAATGGCATCCAGTAACTGGGCTAGGAATTTAAGAAATACTGACAAAAGCTGGCTGTATATTCCTGCTTGTTTCAGCAGGTTTTGCAAATCATTAAGTCAAAAGACAGCGGACTGATCAACAATATTCCAACCTAAAGGCCAATTCTGCTATATTAATAAACAATCTGAAGGCAAATGATAGATAGGAAATCTCCACTACTATGTACAGTTAATATTCTCTATCAATTACAACGCCATTTTTTCGCTTTTAAAAATTGTATCTGCCAAAGATGCCAACTATATGATACATTTCATGATTAAATTTAAACTATGATATCAAAATTCAATAAGGAGATATTAAAACTGCAGGAATCAGTTATTTCGGCTCACTCCAGGGTTCTTAAAAATGTTCCCCAGGTTGAAAAGGACAAGAAAGAAAAATCATTCAAATGATCAATGAGTAAAAAAGGAAAGATGTTCAGCTGATACTGCTTAACTCAGTGGAAAGGCTTGAAGAGTGGTGCTATTTGGCAAATGTGAAGTGTGAATCAAATGATATTTAAATCAGTTTACATTTTATAGGAAAGCAAGCCATTTAAAATACAATAACAATGTCCAGTGTGTTGGATATGTAAAGATATTCAACTGGCTTATTAGTAATGGCAACTTGTTATTCATTCAAAAGATTTCAGAACCTTTAAAAAAGTTAGTGCTGATGAAATTTTTCAGCTGTTGGAAAATTAGACCAAGAGGCCCCATAATTTGCACTGGAGATATTTTTCAGATCTTGTTGTCCTCCCCACCCCTTAAGTATAGCCAACAGAATTCAATGCTTTTATAGAAAGAAAGTGCACAAATGCCTCTCAAGGACATATCTTTGTTTAAAAGGCCTTCCCATATTAAACACAATTCTTAAAATTGGAGAAGTAAAGTTCACATAAGAAAAAGCAAATCTGGTCAATGGAGGACAGAGGTCTTCTGTTTCTAAGAGGCAATGCTAAGCTTAAAACTTATTAAACTAAATCTTAGCTAAAATTAAAACATTTAAATATACAATTTAAATGATGTTCATGTAACATATTTACATGCCTTTAAAGAGCAGAACTGATACAAATTTTTAAAGTTGCAACTTACTATGAAATTTTCACTATTGTAAGTAGCCAGAAGTAACTCACTATTGCCTTTAATTGAAAACATTAATTGGGGAAAAACTGATTTCATGATAAATTTTAATAACATTTAATATTTTATATGAATATATATGGCCACCATATATAGAGAATATTTGGAAGTAGGATTTATTTCTCCAAATGTAACCAAAGTGATACAGTTATATACAGTTGTGCATGTGAATCAATATAGGCATTTCTAATTATTTTAATGAAGTCAGCTAGTATTTAAGTTGGAAAGAATTTTTATATGTTTCCCTAGTGCCTCATATCTACATTAATTTTTCTCATTTCAAAGGGCAAATTATTGTTCTCTATTTTTTTCTTTCTAAGTAATCACTTATTTTCTAAAACTAACTGAAAACAAGATTCTAACACACTCCCCACTCCCTTCTCTTGGGAATGTTCTCAACAGCACTATATTCCTTTTATCACTTGTAACTCTGTCAGTTTTAAGACAAATTGTACCCAGTATAGAGGTCAGGATCTATTGGTCTATAAAAGCTGCCCCTGAAATTGATAAAACCATTGCCTCTAACACCAGAGGGAAAGAGATTGTCAGTTTCAAAACAAAATTAAGCACAGTATCTTTCTGTGGCACTGATGAAACCCCTGAGGATAGCAGATGTTATTTGGAATTGAGTTGCACATATTATAATAAAAAGATAATAATTGATATGTACTTAACATCATAAAGATCACATTAACTCCACATAGATGATTTCTCTGAATCTTCACAACAATCTCAGTGAATAAATTAGGACATGGGTTAAAATCCATATTTTATGGATAAGGAGCCAAGGCTTCAGCAAGTTAAATAACTGTCCAAGTTCAAATGGCTATTAAATGGCAGATCTAGGATTTAAAATCCCATGTTTTGACTCCAGAGCTCATCTTCTTTTAGAGGCCAACTCTATCATCCTCATTTTAAAATTATGAAATTAGTGGAAAACTCTGTCGACTACAGAAGCAACAACAATCTGAAGGGCCAAAAAGGAGAAGAAAATTCAAAGATTTACTAAAGTTCAAATGAGTAACAAAGTACCCAGATTTTAAGCAATATTCAATTCATATGGAGAAATAGAAATTATTCAGAGACATAAATTAATAGCAACACTTTTCATATGTATAGCACTTTGCAATTTTAAGGTGTTTTACATACGTTATCCTATCTACATGGCACATAGAAACATATGTTTTGTTAATGTCAAAATGTCTACAACTAACTGAAACATCTGAGGACTAGAAGATTACACTACTCTGAAGAAAAACAGTATTATTGCATAAATCCTTACTCATTAACTTAGCAACAAGAAGAGTGGCATCCTGTTCTGACAGTGTATATAGTATTTACATATTTTAGCTCTTTTCTGACTTTCAAAAGAAACATTTACTGAGCCTCAGAAATTAGGATTTAACCAAAAATGTCTAATAACTTTTTTCTTTTAAACAAGTGAATGACCTAGATTGGTCAAGAAGACTATATTAGTATCTGATGGAAAATTAAAAGTACTGAGTATGTATTTCAAATTACACTATCCCTAAATTTGTGGTGTATAATGTATTTTAAATATATAGAAGGGAAAACAATTATAGATTGTCATTTTAACTAGGAAATTATGAACTTCCCATCCTCAGTCATTTGTAAGCTTTAACCTTAAAATATTTTAGTATGTGCCACTAACAAAAGAATCACTTTTAGTTCATCCTAGGTTTTAAAACAGACATTCTTTGTATCCAAGAGAACCCTAATTTGATCAAGTAACATAAATATTGGGTACTAAATGACAGTAGCATTGAGGACAAATATAACAAGAAATAGATATTTGTACTTTTTTAATTTTTATTTTTATTTCAATAGTTTTTGAGGTACAGGTGGTTCTTGGTTACATGGATAAGTTCTTTAATGATGATTTCTGAGATTTTGGTGCACCTACCACCCAAGAAATGTACACCATACCCAATATGTAGTTTTTATCCCTCACCCTCTCCCAATCTTCCCCTCCCACCCACCAAATCCCTGAAGTCCATGCCTTTGCATCCTCATAGCTTAGCTCCCACTTAGAAGTGAGAAAATACAACATTTGGCTTTCCATTCCTGAGTTACTTCATTTAGAATAACAACCTCCAGCTCCATCCAAGTTGCTGCAAAAGACATTATTTCATTCCTTTTTATGGCTGAGTAGTATTCCATGGTATATACATACCACGTTTTCTTTATCCACTCGTTGGTTGATGAGCACTTAGGTTGGTTCCATATCTTTGCAATTGCGAATTGTGCTGCTATAAACATGCGTGTGCATGTGTCTATATAATGACTTATTTTTCTTTGGGTAGATACCCAATAGTGGGATTGCTGGATTGAATGGTAGTTCTACTTTAAGTTCTTTAAGGCATCTCCATAGTGTTTTCCATAGTGGTTGTACTAGTTTACATTCCCACCAGCAGTGTAAAAGTGTCTGCTTTTAACCACAGCTTGCACTTACTTTAAAATATAAATCCATATTGATATATGCTATATAAGCCATTTAAGAGCAGTTAAACTTATTAATTCTATTCTACACTTACTTCACAAACTCTTTATTATTAATAAGTTTTAAGAAAGATCCCTGTTTATTCAATGATCATTCACCTGGGATTTATTTAGCAGACACTATAGGGCAATCACTGTGCTGGTCTTCACGCTGTGTAGATAAGACATGGGCTATACTCATGTGGAAATCACTAATGGTCTCTCAGTGGTGTAAACAAATAACAAGACTTAATGTAATGAATTTAATACACTACAAAATGCACACAGATAAAATAATAGTATTTTCCACATACTCATTTACTACTTGACCATTTGATCCATTTATTATTTAAAAATAGATGTTTTTGAGCAATATAATTATAATGGTATTAGAGAAAGTTAAGAAACTGTAGCAAAGGTGAAAAGCATAATAAGAAAACCATTTTTATCTTGTGTTTTTCCCAGTCTTTTAAAAAATACGCATTTTATTGAGACCAAAATTGTCATTTATTCCTCCCAAGTATTTTCATATAATCCTACATAATTCTTTAATAAGCTTTTAAATAGCTACATGATATTCAACTTAGTGAGCAGATATATCATAGTCATGGCATAATGCACAAGCTGCACAGCTTCCAAATCTCAGAGACTTGGGTTTAGAGTTAGGTAATTGCTCTACCACTTCACATTCTGTTTTCTTATCTGTAAAATGGGGATAATAATAAGTAGCTTTAAGGCTTTTCAAGCATCAGAGACTATTATTTACCAAACATCTATCATGGACCCCGAAAGTCAGTAGAGAACAAGGAAATAGCAACTACTGCTTATAATTCCCTTAATGTTGCAGAATTAGGTAACAATATTTTGAATAATCATTCTTTTTGAGTTGTTTTATTCAGCCCCATGCACAACTTTGCTTACCAGTTGTAATGATCTTTGAGTTTCTTATTTTCTAGCCTCAAATCAGAATTATATAGTATTAATTATTTTAGCAAAAGGAAAGATCATTCAGTAAGCCATAAGCAAAGGAAAGCAAGAGTAGCTGTACTTAAAATTAAACATTTTCCTTTGACTAGTTGAAAAGTGTTACATAAAAAAGGAAAACATTCCATCTTTTCTAAAAACACTGAATGAGATACTCCTTACCAAAGTACTCTAAAAAGTAAAAAGTGTATACAAATGTTAGCTGATGCTAACATATAATGGTACGATTTTTTCTTCACTGATTTGTTGTATCCCAAACTTTAAGCCAATCTCTACATATTTATAAAATTTTAAAAACAGTGAAAAACCCCTTCTGTTTTATCGTTTTATTCCTTCCAAAAATGTTTTCAGATTGGAACATACAGTGTTTTTTTTTTTTCCTTAGGATCATATATCACTATAACTGAATTCAAATTTTGCCTTTAAAATTTTATTTTGGAGTTGATTTGTATGAAATGACATGTAAAACTTCATAAGGATTCTAAGTTTGGTCAAGACACATATAATCGCTATTTCAACTACTGATACTTTGCTATCTTTTGCTGCAACAAATCTACTGTCTTATTAAAATAAAAATGTACTTCTCCAAACGTACTTGTGCTTAATTTTTTCCAGAGCAAGTTTAAAATATTCACTATTAGAAGAGTCTTGATAATGAAACCTCTTTTTCCTCATGGACATGGAAGAAAACTAAAGCTTTACAGGAGACCTGATGAAATGCAGACTCAAGTAAGAAAAATATTTTAAGGTATAAAGTTTTAAAATATACTTCTTATTCTAGGACAGCTATCATTCATTATGTAACTTCCAACTTGAGAAAAGGTTGGAATCTGGTTATTCTTCAAGTCCAAGTTAGAAGGAATACTCTGGATATAATAGGTGGAGGTTTAAAAGTTGGCTTAACACCCTTAGGCAACTGCAGACCTGGTCACTGTCCCATCAGGAATGTTTTGAAGGCCAATAAACCACTCAGCCCCTGCCCTGTCTTTATAAATAATTCTCACCGGCTGTGGAGCAATGCTGGATGTGGCTTTCAGCTTCACCATGGTTACTTGAGAGCATTCTCAGGTATTGCTTCTATCCAAGCAGCCTTTGCCTCTGTGGGAAACCCCAGTGATATTCTGGGAGAAGTGGCAAGGGCAGGTAGCATGACCATTCTCTTCTCTGGAAATCTCACTCCCATGCACTTTTCATGCAATCAATCATGAAGAAAAGGTCAACAGACAGCTTTCAAATAATGGATTTACTTACCTACTGACACTGATCTGGCGAGAGAAGTGAAGTTGTGGGGAGAAAAAGGGAGGAGCACAGGAGTCAATTACAGGAAACCTAAACCCCTTCAGTCTTCCAGGGAGACCAAACACACTCCAGTAAGCTCCCTCCCCTTGATCACAGGTATCTGCCAAAGCTATTAAGGTAAGTTTACATTGATGTCCGGTTAGAAGTTGGAGGTATGTATGTGCACATATATAAGATGGGAGCACTGGGGAGGAAAAGATAGATATTAAAGAACTGTCATTCACTGTGGAAATTAACAAAAAAGGATAGGCTGTGTTTCAGGGAGGTTAACTGTCTATACATCCTAGGCCATTCAGTGCAGATTTAAATTTCAGGAAACAGTAGGCACATGAGGATAATCCCTCCATCCTTGGAAGACTTAATACACCTTTAGTGTCTGACTCAATAGTAGATGAACTAAAGGTAGTTTGACCAGTAAAACCAATTGACATGGAAACTTAATATAAATGATAAAAACGTAGGAGTTTTGTTTTGGGATCAGCCAGTCCTATAACACCCAGTTCACAGAAGTGCTGCAGGATTTTCTTTTTAATATTAATAGAACATAAATATTATTTCCATTTTGGTTTCATTCTTAGCACCTTATCATGCCACAACGAATAAATAGTTAGATGGTCTCCAGTTTTGAAGGAGTTTAAAGTCCTACAAACCTTATTCTACCCATTTGGTTTCTTGCCAGACAATAAATTCCATGAGAACAGGGACTATAGAAGTGTTTTGCTCAATATGATGGCCCTTGTGCTTATACAACAATGTCTGGCCATATTAAGTTCTAAAAAAAACAAGCTAGTTATAAAAAATGGATGAGTTCCCAAAAAACTCTGCCTGCTAGAGCCACATTAATAAGTTTTTTCCTAACCTTTCTAAACATTGGTCATGTTTATATGGATTACTTTTGTTTTGGCATCGAAATAATAAAATCAGCACCCTTGATCCAAGGTTCCTCAGCTGCATAAACAACAACTTGCTCTTATTTTGATTAAGGAGAGCTATTATATGTTCTTCCTCAAGCTATTAGTCTACTAGGAACATGTTGTAATTTATAAGGCCTATCAAAACTTTCCTTTTACTAAAATGAATAGAAAATTAATGCAGCCAGGCAGAAAGCTCTGTTAGCTAATAGTTTTTAGCATTTTCTCCTTTGAGATGCTAGAGAGCAATTTTCATTTACTGGTTATTTAAGGAAGAAAAATTCAGTCCCACTGATATCACCTTGATTGGGTTTATGTACAAATACCGTATATTTTTTCCCTTGGGCATATCATGTGCTATTACATGGAAAAGAAATGTTACAACTTTCTAACATCAATAGCTATTTTAGATACTACTGCATGATCATTAGTCGAAAAACTCTTAGAATAATACTACTCCCTGTGTGTTAATAAATATTTGTAGAATTTAGGTAATTTGGGGTGGAATTAAAACACCAAACTCATAAGCACTGAAAGAGATGGAATTCTACTTCTGCATTAAAATACAGGTACAAATTAATGTTCTTACTTAAGTTCTTGGAAGGTGCTTTATAGACGCAATAAATACATGATAGTACAATTAGGTTTTGCTTTTTAATGACATATAAGCAGCTAGCCCTCTGTTCAGTGTGGGCTTGTGTTCTTTAAAAGAACTAGCTAGAGGCATTTTTTTTATTGGCTCAGAATTCTGAAAACTAGACTATAATTTAGGGCTTTTTTGGTCAGCAACAAGTATCAATCATTCCACAAATACAGTATTTACACATAATTTTGCTATTTAATTAAGAGAAGTTAAAAGAAGTTTGCTTTTTAAGGAGGCTAACAATGTCCATTTGCAACATATTTTTTGTTACTAATTAGCTTAACAAAACTTTTCATAGGGCAAAGGTCATTTTCAACCTAACAAATATGAATATTGTTACATGCTAATGAGTGCAGAAATCTCCATCACTATTGTTAAATTAATAAATTATTTGGCTCCTCTTATTACATGTGTATGGATTAGATGCTGAAATACAATAATTTTGAAGTAAAGTGGTTTTAAAAATAATAAACTATAGCTTGTGAAAGTATTATAAAGGCAAATCAGAGAATCCAGGAACACATATAAACCCAAGGATTCTTTTGTCTGTTATAGTTCTTTTTTCAGGATTCAGTTTTGAGGGAGTTTTGAATTTCACGTCTGATGCTACCTTTGAAAATATTCTTACAGTGATGAATGACCTCTTTCATGTAAAACAGTTTTTGAAAAATATATACATATATTTACCAAAGCTTCCTTCCTCTTATGTTGGAAATATTTATTTTTTGATTGGAAGCCTGTGGTGATTCAGCCACAGCAGAAGAAGAGAGGACTTTTCTTTTCCCTTAGTGTTATGTTGACAAATCAGCCTCTGAAGAAGTGACCACTGTTTTATTTCTTCTAAAAGTATGGCCCATTAGTTGAGGAATGTTTAAAATTCGTATCATGGTGCTGTGTTCTTACTTCATTACTAGTTTTGACAAAAGTAAAGGAGCATTTACAGTTGGTCTTTTAATGACGAACATGTTACTTCCAGTGTGATTGGTTGCAACAATGGATTATGACTGGCCCCCAATCACCTTGTAAAAACTGGATTAGAAACTTTATTAGAAATGTAACAGAAAATAATTATCATATAAACTTTTTTTTAAAGAGGCAGGGTCTTGCTCTGTTGCCCAGGCTGCCTGCAGTAGTGCAATCATAGCTCTCTGCCGCCTTGAACTCCTGGGTTCAATCGATCCTCCCCTTTCGGCCTCCCAAGCAGCTGGGACAACAGTTGCACACCACCATGCCCAGCTTATTTTTAAAATTCTTTTGGTAGAGATGTGGTCTTGCTTTGTTGCCCAGACTGGTCTTTAAACTCCTGGCTTCAAGCCGGCCTCCAGCCTCAGCCTCCCAAAGTGTTGAGATTATAGGGGTGTGCTCGGCCAACATTTTTTGACTTATATGGACAAACATTTTGTGCTAGACTTACATTTAATCTGAGCAGTTACACGACAATGCATATAATGCTCAGCACAGGCTTGACACACACGTGGAAAGCACTCAGTACATGTCAGTTACCATTTTCATTATTACTAAAAATGAAAATAGACAGTTTTATTGTATGAAAATCTTAATAAAATTGTTCCCTGTAACTTCCTCTTAGGGAAAAGCACAGATTTAAGTTCAGGTTATATTGAATATTATAGTGGTATTAACTATTACCATAATCTTTAAAATTTCTCTCCCGCAAAGAATCGCACAGATATCACATCCAAGATTATTCAAATGATGTTATCCTGGACTCTGACTAACCTTACATTTGCTCTTTGTCCATTACAAAATTTACTCTTTTAACTTTTATTTATATTCACTAAGTGTATTCCATATCTTAACTTCCTATTCAGTGAAAAAGTTTGGTTCATATGTGCTATGGCTTGAATGTGTCTCCCAAAATTCATGTGTTGGAAACTTGATCCCCTATATAACAGTATTGACAGGTGGTCTTTTAAGAGGTGATTAGATCATGTAGGCTCAGCCTTCATCAATGAATTATTGTTGTTACTCTAGAGTGGGTTTGTTACAAAAGAGAGGCCCCTTCTTGGTTTCTCTCTCATGTCCTTTCTCACCCTCTCCCCTTTCACCATGGAATAACACAGCAAGAAGGCCCTAGAAAGTTGCCGGTACCTTAATATTGAACTTCCCACCCTTCAGAACTGTGAACTTTTTTTCTTTTTAAATTGGCCAGTCTGTGGTATTCTGTTATAGCAACACAAAATGAACTAAGACAATATGTCACCCATTTTCTTCAAGTTTGTAATTATTGGACAATACATCTCTTCTTTTGTAACATTAATAAGTTGGCTTTTATTTTGATTTGTAATTGTAATTTATTGTCTATTAGAGAGTCATTTGACATAATTTTCTAATGCAACAAATTCAGTTCCTTTTTTCTAATATCATCTGGCTGCCATCAGGACACAAACCTTCTGAAAGAATAGATGTCAAATAAAATAAACCCTTTAGCAACTTTATTAAAAGATGCTAAAATAATAGAATAATCAACATGCTTTATGTACTTTTTATTATATTTCTGTCCTTTTACTTGAAGAATATTCAAAACCATTTAGCCAACTCTTTAAGAAAAGCATAAAATAGCATGGCCCCTCATCACTCCTCCAAATTCCTCATTGTTGGCTGTCAGTTAAGACCGCTTCCATCTGCTCCCCCACCATTTCACTTATATTCAGTGAAAATTTTTCACTTGTATCCTTGATATAACAAAACAAATTCTAGTTTCAGAATTCTATGGCATTTTCTTCTCTTTCACCACAGTCCCTAATTATCAGTTCACATCAGTCCAAGAGGAATTTCAAATTTATGTCATTAATCAATCACCACTATGTAATATCACTAAGAATCCTAAACACTTATTTCCTACAGTTTTGTAATGCATGATTTTATCTTAACTCCACATATGTTAGCAGTAAAACATGACTCCTATTCTTGAAGTCCCACCGACATTTTCTATGAAATAATGAACATTCAGTGGATGGTAATATAAGATGGCACTTCCTGGTCCTCCAGTTTTTGGCAAATGTATTTCATTTTTCTTTGTCTTTGAACACTTAGGGCTTCTGCCTCTTACTTACTGCAAACAGCACTCCCCTCTGAACAAGCTTACCCACCGCTCAGTTCTAAATACAGCAAAAAAGCAAACAGCACTTTTAGCATTTCTTTAACTTTCTGTCTTCAAATTCCTAGTTGTCCATTTGGGGCAACTATCATTTCCTCTTGACCCAAGTCTGTGGCAGATACATGTAAAGAACATATATATGTGTTATATGAATCACATCTTTGTAAACTAAACTTCTCAATAGCACTCTTGAAAAAGCTAGCATAAATTATAATCATGATCAAGGTACTGAATAATTCAGGGGGTATTTCATTACGGATTTTGTCTATTATTTAAAGGCAAGGAGAAAATTCTTTTAAATTGGAGAAAAACACACGTCACTTCAGGTCTACAAATATAGTAACAAAATTGAGCTGTGGTTTCAAAAAAATGCTGACACATTATAACAAGGCACGAAAAATTAACCTTTGTGCCAAAATCAAATTAACAGCTCTTTAAAAAGCTTTTGCAAAGATATTACATATGCATATATGTGTGCATACCCTCATTAATATGAATCATCAACTAATGTCTTTGCCCTATGATGTCATTCATTGCAGTTTAAATTTGGGGGTGGTCTGTTTTATAGTTTTTATGATCTTATGATATTAATTTTTATTTTTTATACAATTGCTTTCATTAAAAAACTTCTATATTTTTAAGGTGTTCAAATGCAACCCATCTAAAATAAGAGACTTACGCTTATTTACCCAAGTATTCCAATAATCTCTTACTAAATAAAAATGACAACGCTATATATGACAGGGGCTCAAAGAGAAAAATCAACAAATATTCACTTCTTAATTTCAGAATTTTGCTCCCTGCTTTAACTGGTCCGTTATCAGAATTTGATTCTAATTATTCATTGGCAAGGAACAATTTATTGATTAAGAACAGTAGCAAATGAACAACTTACGGCCTCCAAAGTGTAACCACCCTGGTACAGGTCAATAGAACTAGGCAAACAAGAGGCCAATTCAAGAGTTCCTGTCCAATTTCCTTCCACAGCCAGGTCTTTATGAGCGAGCAGTCATGGAAAAGATCCTAGAAAAATAAACTGTGGAAACATTTCAGCAACTTAATTGAGATTTTGCAAGGCTCTCAAAGCCTGCATTGTTATAACCCACTCTCATCAAAGACCATGATTCAGCTTTAGAAATGGAGCTATTCAAACCCTGCTGTATTAGCCATATATCTTAGGAATTTACTTCCTAATTATGCAGTATGCCTTATAAACACTTTTTTTGGTTCTGTCATTGGGTGACATAATATTTTAAGCAACTAAAGCGAATTGGTCTGATCATTATTTTGAAAAGTTCTTCCTCAACACTTGTCAGATTTAGATTATGAAGCACATTGCATTTTTGTTCTAGAAACTTTCATGCTCTCCATAAGAATTTATCACTTGCTTCACTACTGGGGGAAAATATGTGTCAATATAGCCTTATATCTAACTGTAAAACTGCTGGGACTGTCAATTTTTAAATACAGGAGATGTTGAAAAGGCAAACACCATAGTTTCTGAAAGAAATGAGAATCTGTCTTCTAGAAAGAGTAGGAGTAAGGTCACAACTCTGATTTATCTTGTCTTTGAGGAAGACCAAGAGTAGATACAAAGAATACAAGACTGAACTCATTTCAAGGGTAAAGAGTAACTCTAAAGGGTTTTTTTTATTGAAAGTGCTACCAGAAGACTAGAAAATATGCTGACATGTGCCTTTTCTCTTAGTATCTGGAAAAAAGAAAAGGATGAGAAAACATGTTTTTTAAAATTTACATCATCCATCTGATTTTTATTTTCATTATGAAATCTCAATTTTCATCTTAATCTTAACAGGTGGGGCCATTTATTTTTATTACTTTCTCAGGAAATGTAGATAAAAGTAGACAAGATTCTATATATCATATAAGAATAATCAAAAGTAAATTGGAAGTAAAATCACAAAGTTGTTGCAGAATATTCAACTCTGCGGCAACCAGTTCAGGGCAATAGTGCTATGACAGTATTTGTATTTAGGATGTTGCTTTCTTATCTGCCTCAGATGAGTAATTATCATAAATTACCACATTTGACTGATGCCCAATAGCACAGCACATTCCAGTCAAAATATGTCACCAAACCACCAACACTGCATGATGGTTTTTGGCTCTAGGTGATAGTGATGTTAAGCATAATACTCGGTAGTAATTTATCCTGTCACTCACATATTTAAAAGTTGCTATTTTGAATGGTCTTTGATGTAATAATATATGACGTGTTACTTTACATTTTTAAAAAAGTCGTCATGTTGAGTAAGGCTAATTTTTACAGAGGCGGGGAAGAAAACCCTAGCAAAATGGCTATGTAGTCAGCCCAGACAGATGGTAAATCTGGGAAAAATTAATCAGTAACAACCTTAGCAATCTGGGGTTGTTAAATAGCTGTACTGCATTAAGAAAACTAATAAATACTTTCATATATATACACACAATATGGTGATAATAATATATATATTATATGCCAATGATAATATCCAGGATACATCTGATTTTCTTTCACTATTACTCTCTTCTAATGCCTTCACTTTTTGATGTTGAGGGTACATTTGATTTTAAGGGTTATTTATATTAATAAATGTAAGTAAGATATTAATAAATATTATACATGCAAGGTATAATACAAATAACAAATAATAAATAGTATGTGCATATACACAGAAACACACATATACACTAAATGACTAGAAATTGCACTTAAATCACCTGAAAATCATTACAATTTTAGAAGCAGAGTAGGAAGTCAACAAACGTCCAGGAATTTGATAAATGTGTTGCATTCTTCAGTTTTCCAAGTTTTTACTCTCATGAATTTGAAACTATCAAACATACTTTTTTAAATGATGGGAGAATAATCATTTTCAATTCTTCTTTAATATAATATCATACCAAGTAAATTAATCAGCAGATACAAAGGAAAGTGTTTATCTATTTAAACTGACCAGAAAAAATGAGCTAATGAGGCACCATTAGATAATTAGGATAGATAAACGACAGCTGCTAACTCTGGAATGACTCACTGAATTCTTTTTAACAACATCTAAACAGTCCAAACCAATGAGATGGTTTAACTGCCACCCCTCTTCCTGGTTCTCTTTTTTGTCCTTTTTTACAGTGTTGCATGTCATCATTTTAAGGATATTTGTCTACATGGCTCTGCAACATTACAATTTCCTTTTTAAAATATTAGTTTCCTCTCTGATTTTTCTTCCTCTACACACTTGTAGCACTTAGCGGATCCCAAGACCCATTCTCTAGCCTCAGCTCTTCCTGTCTCATCCTTGTCCTGAAAAAATTCGTAGCCTCCCCTGATCACAACCATCATGTTGGTGCTGAAGACTCCAAGTCTCTATGTATAGCCATTTATTCCTCTCGATATAGAGTCACATAATTCTAGTATGCTGACATCATTTCCAACTAAAGATCTTCAAAACTCAGACTCATCGTCTTCCCCTATGACTGTTTCTTCTGTATGAGTTCCTCAGTTTTGTCAGTGGTATCATAATTTCTCTGTCATCTTGTTGTTAATGCTACCATCAGCTAAAACGCATACAGGGAACTCCACTTCCCTGGATCAATGTGAAGCCATGAATTAAGTCAAATGTTTAGTATCAATGTTACCTTCTTTGAATCTCTAAACCTCACCCTTTTCTTTCCATTCCTCTTGGCATCCCATTAAACACTTTAGGATCTCACACTTGGTTTATTGGAAAAGCCTCCTGACCAACCAATTTTTCTTCCAGTCTTCTGCTTCTTGGATCCATCCTTCATATGGTTCCAGATTAATCTCCCTATACAGGATACTCTTTATACCATAGAATAGGGTTTAAAGGCAACAATTCTGGAATTACACTGCTTAGGGATCTACACATGCCAGCTCCAACATCCACTAGGCTATAGACCCTGGGAAAGTTAATTGACATTTTGTTCCGTTATTCTCTACCTACACCAAAGGACTGTTGAGAGAAATAAATGAGTTAATACAGGGAAAGCACTTAGAAAAGCTTCTAAGACAAGTGCTTAATAAATGATGGACATTATCATCTATTTTATTAAAAACTTGTAATGGCTTCTTGTACATTATATGATAAAGCCTAAATCCCTTAACCTGGCAATTAGACTCTGTACAATCTGATCTTGTTATTGGCTCAAATTCAATAAACAGTATTTGTCAATATGAATTCTCTGCTCCAGACAGGCTGAACTAAAAAAAATGCCCTTTGAAATTATGTTTTTATTCATGCTGTGACTCATTATGTCCCTCTTTCTTTGATGTGTTTTCGTTTCTCTCCATTTTTACTGTTACTCATTTTTCAGTGACTTACTCAAGTCTAGTTTGTTCCCAAAAAGGAAAAAACCAGATCAGCATTTGGTATTGGTCAAAGTTTCTAGAAAAAGGAATCCTCAAATAACTTGAGAATGAGCTGTATGTTATAACCCATCTTGGAGATTAATATTACACATTAATTTTAATGGGCCTTGAGATGTCCTACAGTAAAGAATATTTTTAATATAGTATCCCAAATTTATTGGAGGAGTAAACATCTTCTTTCTTCCAGAAACTATTAGAAATCTAGACATGAATATTCTAGATTCAGGAAGAGAACTGAAAATCATTTTAATTTTGAAACTGGTGTTACAGTCACAATTTCCTATGGAAATGATATGTAGCATTCCTACATAATGCTGAATTTCAAAAATGAGTTTAAGTAAATCTGGGAGAATTGAGTGAAAAGCTTAATTTTCTAACAAGTAGGAATTTTGACATATATAAGTGGAATACCAAAAATAAAAAATATTTAATAACATCTGATTAAGTTTATTCTCGATTATTATCACAATTAAAAACTTTGAAGCCCAGAGAAAATTTTTTTGTAGTTTTTTTCTAGTAACCATACATTTTTTTGCAGTCTGTACCTATACTTTTCAATATAACTATTAATGTTATATCTGATGATAGTAAGTCAGAGTATAGTGCAATACAGACTAAAGTTTTGATTCCTCACAGAATCTTAGTCTATAATTCTATGCTCCTTTGCACATATTTCAGCCCTCAACTCCTAATTTCTAGGCCCTGAATTGTAGCTAGAAAAATTCCACCTTTATTTCTATTATATAAATCATAAACTAAAATAAAGAAAGATGCTAAAATCAACAAATAAGATGAAGAAATTTAATAAAAAATCTGAAGCTTGACATCCATTCTTTTACATAACTGATTAAATGCCTGTTGCTTAAAATATTATTTAAAATGTGTGTACCCTGTTATTAATTCATTTAAAAATAACTGCAACTACCTAGACTGAACACAATTACTAGATAATTAGTGAATTCTTGAGAGAAAAATACATTTCGTGAAATGTGTTTATGTATGTTCATTTAATTGTATTCTCAGTATATTATTATATTTGATGTTAGAGTAGCAGGCCATTTTAATTCAAATAATTATTTGCATAATAGTAATCAAATATAAACAATATAAATAACATGAAAAGGTAAGTATTAATCAGCCACACTAGTATATAAATTGTCAGTAGTTTCCTAAGTAGCCATAATTAGAACATTCCAAAAGAAGAGTGCGTTTGCGTTTCACGTCGATAATTACAATATTGTTAGATAGATTCTGTTTTCCATCTGTGAAACACTTGACATGTAATAGAAGACAGGAAAAACAATTTAAAGTCCTCTCCGTATTTTACGTAAGGCACAGAAATTGGAAGTATAACTAAAAAACAATAATATATGGCTTAAAATATCAATGTCATATATTAAATATTTTCATTTTTCTAAAAGGTAAAGTCCTTTTATTTCTAGTTTTCCAAATTCTCTTTGATGTTTCACCATAAAATTTTAAAATGGACAAAAGAAAGCTTTATTAGACATATGTTTATTAAAAATGAAAATTATTTTACCATCCATTTGTAAATATTTTACTATAAATACTTTACTATTATCAAGTAAATATTTATCTTTCAAAGGCCAGGATTAAAGTTCGCTAAAACAGACCACTAGAGGGCAAGCCACACTCTGCTCTCAGTTATAAATACGTGAATGACTATAGCTGCCTTAAAAACACTAGCTATAGCTAATAATCATTCTTTTTTTCCTTAATTTTTTATTCAAAACTATTTTTTCAGTGCCCACTGTGTACCAGCCACTGAGAATACAGAATTAAAGCAAGTCATATACATATATCTCTGTACTAGTTCTCTCTTCATATACACATAGGCATATAGATTTGAAAATGGTTTTAATACATTCCTTTAATGTTATTTAGTCCTTCAGAATTTATTATCTTTAAATTTTTACCTTAAGGGTAGTGTGCTGTAGAAAAATCAAATAACCAGACTTTCCCAGGCAAGTTGTCATACAGTAACTTGGACATCTCTGACACTGAAAATCAAGGAACATCTTTTGGTATAAAGTACATTAATGAATGTTATATAATCTCCATAGAATGGGAGTTTAATAAAAGCCTGTGGAATATTCTTCAACACTGTCCGAAATTTGCCTCGGCATTTTCCTAACTTGGTTTGTCCCTTCTTTTACTGGGCAGAACAGGATCCACATATGAAGAAAAAAGTGGTTGAGTTGTTGTCAGAGACAATTAAAGTCTTCTTCAGGTCCCCATTAGCTAGTGCCCTGAGAAACGGGTGGAATGATTTCATAATTTCTGTTGAATATAAAAGGACACTGATACCCTGGGGATATTGATTCAGAAAGACAGAAAGAATAGCTGGGAAGCTCTTTCAGTGATAGAGAAGTTAATGATTTTGTGATTCATCCAAGAGAAATGCCTTACAACCTTTGATAATGGCAAGGCAGATAGTGCCACTGCTGACCTTGTCAAATTAGCAGAAGCTAATAATATCAGGGCAGAAGACAAACCTAAGCACCACAAAGGAGAGTTTAGCAACACTTGCATATTTTTAATTGTATTTGTCGGGGGGTTCTTTAACAAAAGATTGCTTTTGTTAATATCGGGTTAATATCAGGATCAAAGTGTTAATATCAGGATCAAAGTGTTTTCTGACGTCAACATTTTTATGGCAGGCTAGACATAATAGAAATGCTCTGCTGAATTATTAGGAAAAATGGAAGCTGCCTCTCCTCCACATGCCATTAGTATTAAAAGTGTTAAATGTCCAACATAATTAAATTACATGGAGGAAAACAATGAACACCAAGATACAGAAATTGATAGAGAAATGTTGAACCACCAGAACACAATCCACATCTCTTCACTTAGTAGGTACACTGATTCATTCCTTCAGCAGATACTTGCATAACCTCTATTTAGGTTTCATGGATACAACAGTAACCAGATCTGCTCTCAACGCAGCTTTCATTTTAGCTAGGTCCCCTGCTAGATGCATAGGAGATAAAGCTGATCAACACTCCCTTCCCTTGAAGGGTTTTCTCGTACATGTGGGAGAAAGATGTCGACATTCAGACCAATGCAATGGAAAAAAAAATCAATACAAATTTAAATATGTACCAATTACTGTGGAAATGAAGAGGTGGAAGTTTTCTTCTGAGGAAGTTGGGGAAGGGGCTACATTCTGGGTATTGTCTGGAAGAAGATTCAAGGGAAGAAGGTTGCTTTGTTCAGATCATCTTGTTTTGGCAGAAACTTGAAGGGTATGTGACTACTTGTTAGATGCGAAGGAAGTAGCATATCAGACACTGGGCACCAAGTGCTGGGAGAACATGGCACTGTAAGTGGAATATGGAAATGAAAATGGGTCTGGAGAAGGAGGCAGGAGGCAGGAGCGAGAAGGTGGAGGACCTGGCATGCCCCATTCCTACAGGGAACTGTGATTTCCTTTAAGTTGGCGATAGGAAACATTTAAAGGTTCAAGCTGGAACTTGATGAGGGAACACACGAAAATTGTGCAAAAATAAAGTAAAAAATCATTACTTTTGTATTTTACATACATATTCATACACACAGGCACACCACTCTGATGAAGGTATGAGAAGTGGATTGGAGTAAGGCAATTATTCTTAGGCTTACAGATCATCGGGATTTTTACAAAGAAACTGGATGGACTATTTTCAACCAAACAATAAGAATTCCTCACTCACAGCTAATAATTGTTTAACCCTCTTCTCCCAGAACGATGTGTTATGGGAAACCAGGCATGGTTCTGAAAAGAGAGTTCATGTATAAAATAAAGCAATGAGAGGCCTTCACCTTTCATTCTGCCAATCTTTGGGCATTCAAGTTACCCCAGGGAGGAGAGTTTCATATGAATAACTAAATGACTTAAGTGCATTTAAATTGATATCAATTTTACATAACAAAATCTCCTAAAATTTACCATCTCTGACATTTCAATGGGGTTCAAAGATTTATTATATGCAATTATATGTTTTGTTAATAGCTGTGATAAATTAGATTTTCAACATTTTTATGCCAGGTTTATGGAGACAAGTTTATATGTTTGTTACTACTAAGCAAAAGTAATTTTTTTATTTTTAAAAGTTTGTTTAATTGATAAGAAACTAAAACAAAAATTAATTTCCAGGTAATGAAAATTATTAATCAGAAGTATTAATCCAGTAATGTAGTAAATATTTTTAAGGACACAAAAATACTTGATAAATTAATTAATTTACATTACAGATGCTCTGCATCTACGTGCATTACCGCCTGCAAAGATGTCCTTCAACAACAACAACAAAAATTTTCTTGGTAGCAGTTAGCATCACAACCTCCACAAGTGGTTTGACAAATCTAGGTCTCGTCATGGTTGCTAAATATGTAAATCATACTGAATGACCGAGGCTAAAAGCAAAGTGACAGTTGACTGTGACTGCCATTAACCATGGATTACATCCCGGCATGTAATGCAATTATATGGCAGGAAACAACTAATGTGGGCTGCTCTGGTGGGAGAAGGGAGAAAATATTGAATTTTTCTTTGTAATCTATTTACATCTTGCAATGGGAGCATTAGTCAGATTAAGGTTCAGAATGCCAGGCGCACACCAGCCCAGTGTGCTAAGTGGTGCCTTCATTCCTAATGTGATAAGAAGGTAATGGTTGGATAAACAAATACATTCTAATATACATTGCTTCCACTGATGTAGACTGAAATCTTTTAGAAACATAAAGATCTGTCAGCATTATTAAGTATGACCTCTACTTTTCCTTTCCCCTCATTAATAGACAAATTTTGCTGAAATTTTCTTAGTAAATCATATTAATTTCCTCACAAAATTCAAGCTTAATATATATTATCAAGACACATGAAGACAACACATTAAAATGTAAATTTCAATTATTTTATTTGTATTGCTGAATATATAGACATACATAGATAGATCACATCAAATTTAAGAGAGAAACAGGTGAAGGAGGGGCAGGCATTAACGCAACAGCTTTAGAGCAGGCTGGCAAAAGCCTTTTGAATATTCTGGGAGTTTGAAATATTCAAACTTCGATATATTTTTCTTGGACGCTCATGTATTGTCAACCATCATGACAAGTCTCTTAAATGTATGTCTAACTTATTTGGGAAATTCATTTGTTTTGCGAATACATAGATTTTAATTTTAGAGCTCATAAATTGCTTAACCTAACTTTCTTTTAAACTTTAAAGCCCATCACTTGAATAATTTGGGGTTATATAAAATATGTGCTACCCCATGATCTGGGCAGATGGTATACTTCAGAATCAATATCAAATTCGCTAAATTAGCCATAAATAAACTCCCTGTTTCTCAAAGAAGCTTTCTGAGAATAACCAGTGTTGTCATTTCCACAGTAACATTTTCCTCATTTTTCCATCGTCTCATTCCACAGAACATGTTCATACAAGATAATTGTTCAAAAATTGTCAATAGTAAATAACAACCCAGTATCAAATCTGTTATAGATAAGCTTGACTGGTTAAGGAATAGTAACAAAATTTGTATTTATATTTAAATGTCTATATTCAGTTTGTGCATATAAATTAAGGGAAGACCAGAAATAATCTAGGCTCCTTAATTAGGTATAAATATAAAGTAAGTTCAGATATTTCAGAGATGTGGGTGAACTTGGTATGCTTTGACCAATTTACAAAATTTTATAGTTCTATTGGCCTTAATTCTTTGAACTCTCTTAGAGGTTAAATCATCTCTGAGACGCCTTCTTTGGCAATCTCCACCAGTTATTATATACTTCTATAATTTACTGTATCTTTCCTTCAAGGTACTTATCACAATTACAATTAAATTCCTTTCTATATATCTCTTTAGTGTTTATCTCTTACATTAGCCTGTGTGTTCTATAAGAGCAGCAATATAAATATATTTATTTATTTATTTTATATATATATATACATATATACACATATATATATATTTTTCCTTGAGATGGAGTCTTGCTCTGTCATCCAGGCTGGTGTGCAATGGCGAGATCTTGGCTCACTGCAACCTCTGCCTCCTGGGTTCAAGCCATTCTCCTGCCTCAGCCTCCCAAGTAGCTGGGATTATAGGTGGGTGCCACCATGCCTGGCTAATTTTTTGTATTTTTGGTAGAGACGGGGTTTCACCATGTTGGCCAGACTGGTCTTGAACTCCTGACCTTGTGATCCACCTGCCTCAGCCTCCCAAAGTGCTGGGATTACAGCCATGAGCCACCATGCCTGGCCCTAAATGAGGAGATATTTAAATGGTGATATATTCCTTGATATTTCTCCATCTCCATAATGAAAGATCTTAAATATATCTAATTTGCAAAGGACTATATTATTTATAACACTTAAATGACAGGAAATTAATCAACTGTTTTACACATACTTTATATATGTAACATGGAAAGCTAACAATGATTAGAAATAGCATCAAGAATATCTCACTTCTTATACAATATATGCTTCTAGTAGTATATATGTAATTAATTTAATAATTGTAATTTATTTCTTAATTATAGTACATGCTGCTTTCACATGTATCTTCTCAAATAATTGCTAGAGTCTTTGGGTAAGGTGTTACTGCCTCTGTTTCACAGATGGACAAACTGAGGCTCAGAATGTTAAGGGTTTGCCCAAATTTAAACACTTAGTAGGTAATACTGAAAGAATTGAATCTGCACAGCCCTATAGTCTGAATGAAATCCCAATGGCAGAATTCTTAATTAGTATTTTAATAGCTTGAACTTTAAGGTATTTCTGCTTAACGTATTAGGTTTTCCTTAGTGAGCCTCAGTTTTTGTTAGCTGAGGAAAATGGATAATTGAAAGCATGTAAAATTTTCCCTTATGTTAGAGAGTGAATGTTAAGCATGGATAATGCAGCTAAATAGCTGTAATCATCCACTATGCATAGCCAATAGTCAACAGATGTTCAACATAGATCCAACAGATCTAAGGGGAAAAAACACCTACCACATCTAACCTAACACAGGACTTTATTTGCAATAATGCATCCTAAAACGAAGGTCAATTTTGGCACACAAACAACAATTTTGGCAATTCTTACTTTTTGACATCATATTTTCCTATTTTAGGGCTGTATGCTGGCTTCATCCAAAGAAAAACTTGGCAGTCTAAACAGTGTATATAGATGTCATGAAATTTGTGTAAACATTAACCAAACAATCCCTAATGATGTGGTATTTTGTATGTATGCATATATTAATGCTCTATGTGCATGTATGTATGAATATATTAAATTTCATATAAAAACGTTGAAGTGAACTGAAATAGGACAAATCAAGTAAAAAATTAACTGTAACTGTACATGCTTTTGGACTGGATCATCTGTGTAGGAAACAAATATTTATTGTCATTTTTTCTCAGTAATATGGTAGTAATGTTTACCTATGTTTTCAGATTGAATCCTTAAAAATAATTCAGTTATAGTTAATTATACTGCTTGAATAAAAATAAAATGTGATTTAAATTAGCACATATTTAACTAAAATATGATATCTTCATTTGTCCCAGTATATGGCTCCTCACAGACAATTCTTCAATGTGAACCTTGTGGACTGGAGGTTCTAAATATCAAGCAAATGAAAACAGTATTGACTGGGACAGAAGGTTCTTTGGTTTGGAATATCCTCCATTTCTTCAACCAAAATATGCTGAGCACTGAGTGTCCAATGAAGAGTGAAAGCACACATGATCTCCAATTTTTGTGAAACTGCTCGAAGCTGGGCTGACTTTTCAGATTACAAAGACCAAATTCCCTGTTTTCGGAGACATTTGATTGGTGTATGGTGAAAGCTGGGGGCGGAGTGTGTGTAAATGCCAGTGGCAGTCGGCCGCCCTCTTCATAGTGGACGCTGGAGCCTTTAGAGTGGAGGGAGTAATGGATTTGCAAAATCTCCTGCTGCTCCCGAAGCTTTCCCAAGTCCTGCTTCTAAGTCCATGGCTCTTGTAATCAAAGTAACATGCTCATCAGCCTGGATAATCATTGTTACATCAATGTCTGCATCTGGTGTTTATCATCTTGGAGAGCCAAGCAACAGAAGGCCTCATTTCGACCAGGCATTTTAAAATCTCTTCTTGGAATGACACTTCCTGTGTGCCCTAAAGGACCTACAGCGAGTGCCAAGTTACCGTGTTTCCTGTTGTACATACACATGGAGAGCACTACGAAAAGGGAACTGAAGTCCCCAGGATAGAGGCTTCCGGGGAGCATGATGTCATGCAACAGCACAGACTGGGAAGGATGTGTTCATGGCTCAGTCACTCACTGATCAGTTTCCTTTCTGTAAACTAGGGATAACATCAATTTTGTTTCTTTTTCTCAAAAACTAACTGTGAAGGCCAAATGTCATAGCATATGAACCGTGCTTTAAAAATTGTAAAGCGAGATACAAACAACGATTAATGATAATAATGATAAAAATATTAAACTGTTATTTAAATGCAAGATACTGTTATCTTATTCCTCAAATCCAACTCAGAAAATCCCTGCTTCCTCCAAATACAATTCTTACTTCTTGAAATTTGCATCTTCTTCATCTGTTGTTCAATTATGTTTTAATCCATGAATTAGGGGATTTCTAACTCCCAGTGACCTTATACTGGATTCAGGCTGACTATGCATAAATATCGGACTACCTGAGGTAGGGTGCCTAGCACACACAATGAAAGGAAAAAGAGGGAGTCCCATCTGTATCATAAACACATATACACAAAACTAAAAACTGAACCAATGCATGCAGAAACTTAAACAAAAAAGGATAATCTTATTGAAATGCTCCTAAAAAATCAGGATAAAGATAACAATTTTGAAAATTAAACTTGTAACCCAATACTGCAAAGATATACTCTTCCAGGTTGGGATTACAGCCTTCCCAACCCTGTACTGAAATAAAGGAAAATATTTTATGGCCATGAAAAGTTGGAATGGAGGCACAGTACCAAAAAACGGGATACCAATAAGAAGAGACATCTGGTCATTTTGGCATGATCACGTTTCTGTTACAAAGTGCAAATACATTCTTTATGAGAATGTGCCATTGATTACATACTCTGCATTTTAGCACTGTTTCTAAACACGCTGTAAATTATGTTAAGTAACTCATTGAGTCTCTGATTTAGATTTTTTTTTCTCAAGCAGAAAGATAATGTTTGCTACAAAAAGGAATAAACCAGTAGACAAATCACATTTATAAACTCTGCAAGTGACGTGAGTGACGTTAAAACATCTGGGAGACGTTAGAGACTGCATTAACTCTAATCATGGATCACATTATGGCAGATTTCTTTTTTCCTTAATGAGGAGAAAAGACTGAGATAGTGAACGTGTTATTCAACATAACCCTTCAGTCCTTGTCCAAGAACTAATAAAGCACCAGAGAGAAGGCCTTGCTCCATCAGAATTCCAGAACTAAGGGTAGGCAATCTCCTTTATGTTTGGCCTATGTGTCACTGGGGATAGTGTCTGAAAAAACAAGGCCCATTTTCTCACTCCAAATAAATCATGGACTATCTAGCACCCAATATTTACATTGAACAAAAAGATGATCCTTGTTCCCTTTCTTCTAGCAACACCTCATTTATCTGTTAATTTTGTAACCTAAAGAAGAGGTCACTAAAGACAAGACTCCATATACAATGAGAAGATGTAAACTCTGTAAAACTATAATATAAATGGAAAAATCTGATTTCATAATTATGCTGCAAAATATAGTCAAAATATTTTTTAAATTGACTTTAAATATGCATATTTATACAGAAAACTATCTGAAGTCCCAATGTTACATAGATAAATACGGAGAAAGGCCTAGGAAATTAACTGTGACTCCAGTAGTTCACCTTGGAAGAGACTTATACATAATTTTCAATATGCAGAATAACAATCATTTCACTTTAAAAATGCTTTTCAGGCATTTATCTTTAAGATACATGTTTTCATTTCATTTGTAAAGAAGCAATCAAACAAGATCTACTTTGTGTGAGGTTTACTTGATTTCAAAGTATAATTAAATAAAACATTAACATCTCTTTGATGAAGAGGTTGCTCTCCAAAGATTTAAGTCCTTATAAGTAAGCTTATACAATATTTTTTAAAGGAGGATCTAGTGAGAAATACGTTGACTTGGATACCTTGGTACTACAGAACTAGAGAGATTGGAATAAAGTTAAAGTATTACTTCCCAAAGTGTCTTATTTGAATTTCATTTTGAAGCTCAGAGTTGGGGTTGGGAGGGACTTGACTAGAGAAAGTCTCTATTTTCTATGGATTATTAGGTATTACACCCTTCAGGACTAGTGTTCCATGGACCATACTTTGGGAAACTTGCTTCATGGTTAAATCAACATTTGGGAAATGTTGCTTCAAGACATAGAGTATAGAGAGTTAAAGAGAATTTTATTATGATGCTTGAGTAGTCTGCTAAACTGCAAGCATGGGTTAAGAAAAAAAATTCTAGGGGAGTAGTAATTGACATCTGAGGCCCATTCAGCAATAGGACCTGGTATCTAGCTATTACAATAAGGTCAGCATGACCTTGAAGACCCCAGAGGAATAAGAATCCATCTGGAGGGGAAACCAGAGACCTCTTTAGAGGCCATCACACCACTCTGATCATTCCAGAATGATTAAATGATGTTCCCCCTTAAGAGACCCATAGAATGGACCCAAGTTTATTTCATCATCACTGCCAACACCATTATTTATGACCAACGGCCCAAAACACTGCATTGTTAACTCAAAAAACTTCAACAGAAAAGCTAACATAAGCACACATTAGCACATTTAAAAAAAAAAAACAAACTTTTCCTACTTCAGCTGCTGATTGGGCAACATTTTGACTGGAACTCATTGGACTAAAGTAAATTCAACTTACCTGCTTAACTGCCTCACAGCAAACAGTTTCTTTTGTCAATACTAGTGATGGAATTAATTGGAAGAGTAATCAATTAAATGTGTTTTAATTGCCCAGTGTGCATAAGGGAACAGAAAGGGAAGACTTTTTATGGATTTCCCATTTCTCCCACTGTCTGCCCTACTTTCCTTCAAACCTAAACTGCAAACATAGCTGAAGGTATTTTTGTCTTGCATAACTGCAAATGCCTGCATCTTTAATAGAGATGATTTATAAAGACATTTTGGAACATGCTGACTTCATAATGAAGAAGCTGTACTCCCAAAAGAGTCATTAACCCAGACATTCAGTGCCTGAACCACTGGGAATTATACAAAACCATTCAATGAGCAAAGCAAGATGGATTCTTATGCTTTCCGCTAAGAGGAAGTAGGTAGGAATCTCTCGCAACACTCCAAACACTTTGAGATCAATGAAGAAATTGAAGCTCCAAAAAGGTAAAATGACTTTCCCAAGGTCACAGAGCTTATCAAGTCTCTAAATACTCAACCTAGGAAGAGATCTCTAGATCTTTCTACAGATCATATCACCTCTAAAAATAGAATATAAAATATATTTGTAAGTATATTGATATTTTGTCGTGTCATTCTTTCAAGATAATACAATTAATTTTAAAAGATAAGGATTATCTACCGTAAGATTCAAATATAAGTCAAGAGTAAAATTCAACACTTAAACATTTTTCATTTTTTAACACCGATTGACTCATTGTACTTGTCAGGTTATATTAGTTGGTGTGACAAGCTCCAAAATGCATAATGGTGAAAATATGATGGAAGTTTGTATCTGAACTCTGATATAAATACTTTCGCCTAAGGAGATATTCATTATCTCTTTGGATAAATGACTGAAATGGAACAAAGAAGCTGCAATTTCTTGAGCCATCAAGAAAGCCACATTTAAAAACCATTTTTCAGAAAAACTATCTAGTATTTTTTTTTTTTTTTTTTTTGAGACGGAGTCTCCCTCTGTCGCCCAGGCTGGACTGCAGTGGTGCCCTCTCGGCTCACTGCAAGCTCTGCCTCCCAGGTTCACGCCATTCTCCTGCCTCAGCCTCCCGAGTAGCTGGAACTACAGGTGCCGGCCACCACGCCCAGCTAATTTTTTGTATTTTTTTAGTAGAGACGGGGTTTCACTGCATTAGCCAAGATGGTCTCGGTCTCCTGACCTCGTGATCCACCCGCCTCGGCCCCCAAAGTGCTGGGATTACAAGCGTGAGCCACCGCGCCCGGCCTAGTATATCCTCTTTATTGTAACCTGGGTACCTGTTGTTCCTATGTAGCCTGGGAAAATAATGATGCCCCTCTCTATCTTAGTACCCCTCCAAGAAACATTGTCTTAAATGGGTTCAGGCTGCTATAACAAATGAGCATAATCAAGGCAGCTTAAAACAACATTTATTTTTTATGGTTCTGGAGACCGAGACCAGGATGCCTGCATGATTAGATTCTTGGTGAGGGCTCTTTCTGGTTATATCCTCACATTGCTTTTCCTTGGTACATACAGAAAGAGAGATCTAGTGTCTCTTCTTCTTCTTTTTTTTTTCTTTTTTCTTTTTTCTTTTTTTTTTGAGGTGGAGTTTCGCTCTTGTTGCCCAGGCTGGAGTGCAATGGCGTGAATCTCAGCTCACTGCAACCTCTGCCTCCTGGGTTCAAGCAATTCTCCTGCCTTAGCCTTCCGAGTAGCTGGGATTACAGGCATGTGCCACCATGCCTGGCTAATTTTGTATTTTTAGTAGAGACGGGGTTTCACCATGTTGGCCAGGCTGGTCTTGAACTCCTGACCTCAGGTGATCCACCTGGCTCGGCCTCCCAAAGTGCTGGGATTACAGGCATGAGCCTCCACGCCTGGCCTCTTCTTCTTTTTATAAGGGCATTGATTCCCATCATCAGGGGTCCATCCTTATGACCTCACCTAGTCCTAATTACCTCTCAAAGACCCCACATCCAAATACCAACACATTGGGGACTTAGGATTTCAACATACACATTGTGGAGAGACACAAACATTCAGTCCATAGCAAACATCCATTGGAAAAATGTGAGAAAGCTACGTAGATATTCATAAACCTTCCAAAATACTTGCCAAAAATGTGGACTCTAAAAAGAAATGACTGTATATTTTTTAAAGTTCCTATCCATTTTTATATATCACAGAATGCAAGGGATAACACTAAATGGTGCAATTATGAAAAAGTAAACATAATTTTCTATTTAATTTTATCATTCAATTTGGTCTTGGCTTGGTGAATGAGAAAACTGGCAGTTACAAATTGTGTAATTCAACTTAATGAATATCAAACTGAAAATAAATGTCAGAAATGTGCATTTCTTTTTTCTGAAAAAAATATGACCATATTTCTTCCACTAATTTATTTCTAGTTTAATATAATTGTATATAGTAAATCGTATTCAATTTTCCAAGATCATCTACAAATAAGTCCCTGGCTGAACAGATGCATGTGACAAAAGACATTATTTAAACATTGTATAAAGGTATAGTTTATATTATTTATTTCTATATATTAAGTAATACTCTAATACTCTATATTTTAAAAGTTTGGAAAATACCCTTCCTATAAAATAATTTAAAATATAAAATCCTCAATTGTTCATACATTGGTACCCTCCAAATGGGCAGGAGCTTTAAACAATCGATTTTAAAGTGCAATGCTAATATTTCTTTCAGTAAAAATAGATTAGGCTGGATGAAAGCTATTCTGAATGAAGATATAAAAGTAAAAGCATACACAGGTGTGCATGAGAGAGAGACATGAGGGAGAGAGAGAAGAGGTTTGGGAGGAAGAGAGGGAGAGAAATTACAGAATGAGAGGTTATATTAAAATTTTAACAATTTCATCTTTATGAAGAAGTTAACATGAAAAGCAACCTACACACAAAAAAAAGCTTAAAAAAATCAATGGTGAAAAGAAAGTATCCTGACTTTTTAATTAGTCTTTAAAAGTTCAGAGTTGAGAGTCAACCTCTAAAATCACAGTAAATTCTCTTATCACCATTAACCTTCAATACAAAGGGCTTTATAGTCCCCAGAATAATTTTTGAAATCATTACAATATTTTAATCTTAACCTCTTCTTTCTTTTTCTCCTAATAGTGAGTTTTTATCTGTGCTTGGAACTGCTGGGGAGACTATCCTGTATTCTATGTCACATGTTCTCGTAATTGTTCTATTCAAACACTCCAAGATCTGTGGTTTCTGGTCTTCTGCAATGCCAGGGACCAGAGCAAAGCACAAGAAACGAAAGTGCCCCACAGTTGCAGGCACATTTTCTAGAAAATTACAGTGTGTTTCATCAACACTGATGGGTACCTTGTCTTATCTTTGCCTGGATTCCCTAAAAGAAGAGCTCCACAGAGGGAGTCTGTGAATGTGACTCACCTAGGGACACCCACAGGAAAGGGGGAGAGTGAGATGGTCAGGATAGGGCAGAGGAGGGGCTGAGCAAGAATGTGGTCTCCACCAGAGGCAAGCTTCAGCCTCACCAAGCCTCTGGACCCTCTGGAGCATGAACTGCCCAACAGAATTGTTCTCACCTTGAGGAAACCTACCAGGCAAAGCAGCTCTTGCTTCAGTCAAAGGAGATTCCTTGGAGAGGGGAGAAGGGGGCAGCTGTGAGCCTTTAGCCGCCAACAGGACAGCAGCTGGGGGATGTGTGCACTGGGCCAGTAAAGGAGATAGGACAGGAAAGCAACAGCATCCACTGTGTGTCCATTCCTTAGAGATTTCCCATCACCTTTCTTTTGACATAACTGATCATCTCTGCACGTAGCAGAAACGGGCACTAGGATAGATGAAAAGTTATGACTGTAGTTGGAATGAAACGTGTCTATGCAACTGATTAGGGGTATAGCTTGTGAAAGAATGCATGGCTGTACTAGAGAGGGAGAGAGAGAAAAAATAATAAAAATATTAGAAATCAATTTTCAAAAAATTATTCTGCTAGTTTCACCAAAGTGACTAGGATGTTGCTATATTGGAAGTTGAAAGAACAAGATAATTAATAACAAAATAATTTTTACAATTGCTGTTAAAACCATGTACTACAAAAAAACACATGTAAACGTAGTCACTTAGCATTCCAATTACCAAATACATAATAAATCAAATTCAAACAATGTTACCTTTAGAAATAAATGTCAAAAGTATCAATCCCCTAATAAAAATTTTAAAAGCTTTAATTCCATTTCTATAAAAGGTTCACAAATAATTTATTGATTTTTTTTCCTGGAAGAAAAATAAGAAGAAATAGATGTCAGCCCAAGTAGAAGCCAACAAAATGAGCAGTTGGAAGTTTAATGCACGAGAGAAGTGATTTAAATTCTAGAAATTATCTTGGTCCTCTTCAGAGCACACAATCCTTTTTGCATAGTGATGATTCAATACACGTTTAAAAACATGTTGGAAAAGTTGAATTGAAATGGACTTTGAAAAACTCTATAGATTTTTGGTAGCTTTAATTCAACCAGCAATGGATGAAGCATCAGGAAGGCTAAGGGTGTTAGGGTAAGATTGAAAGCTGTGGGATCAGACAGATCTATGTTTCAATCCTAACCCTGCATTTAGCTAAGTTTGACTTTGGTACATTACTTCAAACTGGTAGAGCCTCAGTGCCTCATCTTCAACACTTCTCTGGGTTATTGTGAGGATTAAAAGAGATAAGACATAAATGATGCCTTGCATGTTTTATGCAACAGGGGCGATTATTATTGCTGCTGTTAGGGAGATAAGAAACATGCACTTAAGTGGAGGCTGCAATCTGTCAGGCAGCTGGCAAATATCCACCTGCATGCATGTTCTTTGGCCTGTCCTGCATAAGACATTTAAAATAAAAATTGAGATCTGGGTTTTCTTGGAAAACTGGAAGCTGCCACCATATTGGGCCCATATTCCTGCAGTGAGAACCTGGAGTCTTTTGTTTTAGACGGGACATGTGCTCTCCAGATCACCACACTTTCCAGCAGAATCTGTTGTACTACATTCAGCCCACTTACTCACGTAACCTCATTGGTCCCAGTAGGCACTGGAGCTTGCGACTGCCTGGTTTGCCAAGGAAGCATAAGACTCAGAGGCATGCAATATAAATCTGCATGGGGGCAGCTGAAGATGCAGTGCTGTGTGGTAGAAAGCAGCTGGAACCGGGAGCCAAGGAACATGAGTTGTAGCCCCAGTTCTACATTAACTCCTGTGTGAACTCTGAGCTCTATGGGGGTCTGTTTCCTCATCTGTAAAATATATGTTCTGGGTAGGTCAAGTTTCTGAACACAAGGCAAGTCAGTTCCCCATCTGGGTTTCAGTTTCTCATTTGTTCTTTTTTAAAAATGATGCCAAATTAATGGGTCACCGAAGCCTGGTTGAATTAGAGAAAGCCCTCCCTCCAAATGCTCCTGTCAAAAAAAGAAACACTGCACACAGAGTTGATGGGATACATTTGGAAGCTCAAATGCCAAAAGGAAGTTTAACATACATAAGAGCAGCAATTCTGAGAATGCACTCCCCTGTGTTGCTGGCCTAATGCATTAGTTCTAACTGAGTAAATAGAACTAATTGTTTCCCTCAAGTTTATTCTTCTGCCTAAAATACCTAGGAATGCTCAAGTACTAAAATAAATTATATCTGCTTTATAATTCTCTTTGAGCAAAATTCCAGCCATATACTCTTATAACTTTGCAGAACTACGTTTTGAAACTCATGACTCCAGGTACTTATCATTATTCACTCTTTCTATTCAGTCAAGATTTATGCTGGTGTTTTTCATTCTAGAAATTTTTAATCAAATGATTTTTGTAAATCCCACAAGATAAAAAGATGTGAAATACATGTAACTCGAAATGTGATACTCAAGTTCTCACCTAAGACAGTACATTAAAAAACCCATATTCAATTTTCATAGCAGTGTGCAAAGCCTATTTCTTAAAAAAAAAAAAAAAAAAAAAAGACATACACAGCTAATATATCTTGCCAAAGTCCAAGATACTGGATGTGGAAGTGTCAAGCAAATAAACTTTACAGAAAGTTACTGTCAAGGTTTTCTCTGTTTTGTGTTCTGTTGTTGTATAGAGTAACTACTCTACTCAAAAGTGACAGTCAATTAGTGACAATTCCCAGTGGTGGAATAAGAGCTAACAAGAATGGGAGGTAAGGGGGCTATATCAACTCTGGCAAAATAGATTCTAGGTTTGTCTTGTTCCCGGTTTAACAAATCTTAATTTCTAGGCTTTTTGAAAAATCATCTGTCATAAGAAGCCAACTGTGTTACTTTCTAAAACACATTTAATTTTAAAAATTCGAATAGGCTTAATGAAAGACTAAAGGTGCACAGGTAAAGCATACTCTGTTATTTGACATGGGCAAGAAGATAACTGTTCTGACTAATCAATTATTTTCTTCAAATTCATGAAAGGGCAACGACTTTTCAAAGACACAGAATATAGTACATTTAATTCTAAATCCACTGTGAGCATGATCTAACTTTTCCCCTAGTGATTAAGAAGGTATTACATGATCTTGCAGTGTCCTGGTAGGGTGATTATCCATCTTGTTTACCCAGGACAATCTCAGTTTATACTTGTAAAGGAACAATTATTAATAACTTTCCCTTTCCTGCACAAAAATGACCCAATTTAGGCAATAAATTATGTGGTCTCCCTACCTCTGAGTCACTATAATGCACCCAATCTTTCATGCAGCGCTGTAGATAGACAGACATGTAGGTTTAATAAGAATGAACCTGTTGAAGAAAATGCTCTAAAAGGAAGATTTACAATACAAAGTGTAAATAAATATTCTTCCACACTAATTTTAGTCAAGCTATACTTTAAATTTAAGTCTACTAAGCAATAACAAAAAATGGCCAGAAATAGGTTAAAATTACCAAATTAGTAAGTAATACAAATGTCTCATTTCCATTATCTATCAAGTTTTTAATTTGTGTCTTCAAAGGCAAATTAAATCCCAGAGTATTTAAATAATCACCACAAAAAACTATATTCTAAACATTGTATAATGAATTAAAGTTAAAAAAAAAGTTGAATATGGGGCCTAAATGGTCTTCTCATTTCCCAAATTTAAAATATGTTTCACAATGTGAATTTTGTTCTGTATTTCTATGAAACTACTCATGTGGATTGAAAAAAAATGATTTTAACATGGTTGTGTTACCAATAGTACAAAGTAACAATAAAAACACAAAAGAATAATTATTTCTACTAAGTCCTTAATAAATAAAATTAGCTGAAAGTTGAATTTTATTAAAAGAATATGTAGCACTAAAAGAAACCAATAATACAAAGCAAAACATGTCTTTAATACAGGCATAGTATGATAGCTTTTTAGGATAAAGTTTCAAGTTAAGTGACAATATTTTAAAAATCAAACGCAAAACTCTGTATTTAAATGAGTTAATATACCCATGCATTTACCCTATTCACAAACTTCCTAAAAATGAAGATCCTCAAACAAGTTACTTTTACAATCCAGTGACAAAAATTAACTGAACTCAAGAGATGCTGTCAATTTCAATTCCCAATATATTAGTAACAACAAAAACGCATCACACACGTTAATAGTATTTGCCTAATTTTACTTCACTTAGGACTTTGAAACATTTTTTCCTGCCTTTGACATTGTTTTATACTTCATGCTTAATAAATTGCATTTACTGGGAAATAATAAATTAACTCACTTTAAATCACAAAAATATACAACTGCAAATCAGGACTTCTGATCAGTGTGACCAAACTGATTTGATAAATTAAAGAAAGACTCCTGATACTTAATTGGTAAGCTGTGCAAACTTGAGTTTTTTTAAATATTGGAGTATTTCTCAGCCTCCGTCTTTCCTCATGGTCTTTATGTTGCTATCATATAGCTGTCAATTCAATACATAGTTGTGTGCATATATATTTAACATAGTAAAGATTTATAATTGCTTTTGTAATTACTATTTTTACCTATTTAAAGAAAAATGAAATTTATTTTTATGGACATATAATTTCCATGCCAAATGAAAAGAATGCAATTTCATAGGAATTATGCAAACTTTATTTGAGAGAATGTGGGGTGATTTTCTTATTAATCTAGAATATGAAGTTTCTTTACTTTTTTAATGCAATTGATGGAGAAATTTTTAATAAAAGCCTACCACAGGCATGGCTCTGACACTATATTGCAAAATCACTTTACACTATTCCCCTATATTCCTCCCACATTTTTGTTTTCAACATTCCTATTCCTAAAACTAGAAAATACCAGAGCTTCAGAAATATTCATGGGCATCCTATACACTGTTTACTCTAAAAATACTCTTAGTTTTTCCAAATGACAAAGACATAAGAAAAAGTTCAAAAAGCTTTTACTAGTGGGAGGATTACAGAGTAAGGAAATTGCAGTTCTAAAAATTATTACATGATCAAATTTAAAATTAATATATATCTCTTAACAATCTGTTTATGTTTTGAAACTTATTTGTGAAAGCTGTTAGGCAAAACATTCTTATGTTTTGAATTTAAAATCTAATTTTCAGAGTCCTTCATACAAAGTCCTCTAGCCCCTTTGATTTGAACTTACCTGAAGAATTCTAGTTAATTATAGAAATTTCTAAAACTGACTTTGAAGTAGTTCTACAGGCTGCTTGTGCTTAACTCTATCAATTTTCGCACCCATGGAGATTCATGCACTGGGGTCTCCCTCCCTTCATACGGCCTTCAAGGAAAAGGAGAAATATCTAACGTTGCCACCATTTACCTTCAAGCACTGACATCATTTTGTAAACATCAGAGGACCAATGAGACCATTACTCAAAATCCAAACAAGTTTTAAAAGACGTAAAACTGTATTTTAAAGGAGACAACAAATGTGCACAACTTGACAAACTCAAACTCTGTTGCTGAGAGATGTGGTAATGTCTGGCCTAAAGTGGCTTAGCTACAGAGTATGTAATAAAACAGCTAAATTTGGATTGGAGGCCCATTTTGCACTGCAGAAATGTAGTATAACCCTGGGAGAGCCAAGTAGAGAGCGACTCAAGAAATTAGAGACAGGGACTCTGTGCAGCTCCCCACTTCAAGGTAAAGACAAGAGCTGTTAAAAGGAGAGGCCCCAGGGAAGATAGGCTCTCAAGTTGAAAGGTGAAGAAAATGGAAAGAGGCGATGAGAGGATATAACTGTACATGGCTGTAACAAAACACTTCCAGTAGCCTCTGTGAGTTAAAAGAACAGTTCTTATTAAAGGCAATGAAAGTTGTTACTTGATTTTTTTTTCTGAAAATTAGGTAATAGTTCATTCCAGCAGAAAGTTAACAAAGCACATTTATCTCTCCTTTAATCTCTTCCAAAATATTTTTATTCATTTTTTTCATATCCGTTTACCAGCTTATGATTTTATACATTTTATCTGTAATATTTTATCATCCTGACAAGATTTTAAGTTTCTTAAAGGCAGGTACCATATGTTATGCTATTCTGTCTCATTTCTCTCTATGGGATATACTAACTAATACTTCCAGAATTGGATTCATCTCAGCTGTACTGATTTTTTTCCTCCATTAAAAAAACTAAACTGAATTGTGATTTGAGAGAATACATTACATGTATGTATTTATATGTATATATGTATATATATTTATATGTATATATGTGTATATATATTTATATGTATATATGTGTATATATATATTATATATATACATAAAAAATATATATATACAAAGTTCCACATCTATACTTCTAGTCACATTTATCCTCATATAAATTTTAGAATACCAGCCAGGTGCAGTGGCTCATGCTTGTAATCTCAGCACTTTGGGAGCCCAGGCAGGTACACTGCTTGAGACCAGGAGCTCAAGACCAACCTGGGAAACATGGCAAAACCCCATCTCTACAAAAAACTAAAAAATCAGCTAGGCAGGGTGGTGCATCCCTGTAGGTCCCAGCTACTCAGGAGGCTCAGGCAGGAGGGTTGCTTGAGTCCAGGAGGTCGAAGCTGCAGTGAGCTGTGACCGCACCACTGCATTTCGGCCTGAGTAACAGAGCGAGACCCTGTCTCAAAAAAAAAATGGTAATAATAAATTAATTTAAAAATTCCCTAGCGAGAATTCAATTACTTTGATGCTTTGTTACAACTACATAAACTGTGTGCCTAATGTCAGGCTTAGTTTAATTTACTTGACAATGTAAGAAAAAAGAATTCCAAATAAGTCAAAATATGCAGACAAATGACAAATCATAAAAATTTTACACTCCTTTTTTAATCCACCGAAGTTTAGGTAATTCTTGAATCTGTCTTCCATATTTGGTGTCCACTTTGAACAACAACTGAAATGCTCTGCAACTTGCATATATATTTTTAGATGGGGCTATCTTAAGTGTAATGCATCAAGTGTGACTTAAGTTTATTTTTATTTAGCTACAGAGATATTTTCCTTTACATTTTTGAGGGTTGGTCTCTCCTGGTAAATTTCCAGAATAAATTTTCTGTCTTGCTTTTAAGTGGGGCAAGATTCTGACATATAACTATTGTGGGAGCTGAAGGCATTTCTGGCAAGTGCAGTGAATGATTGACTTTTCCATTTGTTTTCATAATGATAAATATATAGTTAGCATTAGGCAGGAAAATAAGTATTTCCAAAAATATATGCTAAGCACATCTGGTAATGAATGGGGTCATACAGATATATCATGACTCCCCTCTCCATTAGGAGGTGTTCAGTTCCACAAAGTTCATTCACTCCCACAACAGAAAAACAAACACAAAAGTGTATTCTTACTTGGAAAAGAAAGAAAAATAAAATTCTTCATTTAAAAATGCAAAACACTACCAAGGCAATTATGTTTTGTTGGCTTTCTTTAGTCTATGCCTCATACAACAGAATTTCCTGTAAGTTAATACTAACCACAGTAGTGCATAGCTTGAGAGAAATATTGAAGTATATTGCACTATCAAAATAACAACGCTAAGTGCATTTCTAAAAGTGGTGCTGGCATCATCAATTGACATTTAACAGTTCCTTTATAACATGATTACAAGTTTCTATCGAAGATACAGCATCTTATCATATGGCTTATTATTCTTCATAAGTTGTATTTAGAAAGGACTTTTCAGAAAAAAAAGTGAAAATTGAAAACTGCTGCTGAAAGGTGCATTTTTGTGCAGCACTTGACAAGTAAATATATTTGGTCATATATGAATATGAAATCAAGATTCGATGACCTTTGAAACCATCAAAATTAATTTAAAAAAGGAAGTGTGTCATTCATCCAATATATTCATGTGATTCTTACTAAAATAAAGAACAAAGCTTTGTTTACATCATAAATAAACCTTTTAATAACCGGAAAGTCTAATGTTGTTAAATCATCCCTTTTCTGAAAGTGGAGTCCAGCCTTGTTTTAGACTTCATAATTTAATAGTATTTAGGTGTATGGAAGAAAGACTAAGTTAACTTGCATTAATGGGATTCTTAAATTTTTCTTTGTTTCCAGAGAAGTATTCTTTTAAGACTGTTTTCAAGCCAGTTTTTCCTTAAATGCTGTTTGGTCTAAATTGACAGTCTTGAAGTCTTTCCTAAAGTAATGTTTAAACATCTCTCTGGCATTCCATTATGGGCACCTGCTGCTGATAATTACAGGTCTGTCTCCTAACCACTTCCTCTGCTTTATGTCAAAGCAAGATTCAGGCTGCTTGATTACAAACAACTACCAGTTAAAGACCAGTGCACAGCTCTCTGCGGTAATTATGCAGGGCAAGTTGGGTCTGTGTTTACTGAAGTCTTAGGAAACAAGAAGCAGTTACTTGTTATAATTTCCTCTTTGCTAGCAGTGTAGCATAATCCACAACATATTTTGGTTACCTTAAAAGTGCTTATGAGAATATTTTATTCAATAACACCTTATAATGATACATTTCACTGTACTATTTCCTTGTCAAAAAATCAAAATATCCTGCCCAAAAATAATAGGCTGTGGTCCTACCAAAAGAATTTTCAGACAATAGTCAATTACAGGGAAACACTGGGTTTAATATGTACTCCAAAACATATTTATTTTTCTTTATTTTACTACTCTACCCCTGTTCCTATAGGCATCCTTTCCCACCACCTCACACTCACACCATTGTGCCCTGCACGAGACTTGTTGACTTTATAGTGGAGAAAAATGAAAAATACACCATAGGGTGATTTTTGGCACAACAATAACCCCAATATAGAACAAAATTTCATCACTCAACTTGAAAGTCAATGTATTTTGTCAATATTCCATAAGATAGAATTCTACAGTTGAATAAAAGGAAAGATTCTCTGGCAGTACTGCAGTGCTGTTTGACTTGTACACCTCTTTAATTCCCAATTCTGTCTTTAGGTAAATTGACCAAATCAAAATTGACCAAACCAGTTAGAGCCCAACCGTGCTCTTAATGCTTACACATCAATTGTCTGGGGTTTATTTGCTCAACTACAACAGAATCCAAGTTCTTCATTAGTTAATAGTCCCAAATCACAGGGTAGAAAGTCTGAAGTTAGAGATGGATCTCTGAGGGTGAGGAGATTGGCCTTTTAGCTAGAATCTAAGAGATGGGAAGCACTCACTCCTGAGATAGTCTTGATTTCCACCTACAACTTCACATTCACCTTGCTCTGTCTAGTAACTCTCAAAGTGGGTGATGAAGAGAACCTGGGAAGTTTCAATGAACTTTACCAACCTGAGTCCTCAAAGTCCTTCCAAGATGCGTTATGTATGCATCAACAAAATATGCATTCACCCAACATCATTAAAAAAAAAAAAAAAATCCCGATTACATTCTGGCTGTGTGCCAAAAGCTGTATCACATCCTGGAGACACCAGAATCAACTCATCAATTCCTGTACTCATCATGCTGGCCTACCAACTGGGGACACAGGGAAAAGAAGAGTGCTCCTGTGAGATGGGAAAGGTTGCTGTAAGAAGGGGTGAAGATCTAAACTAGGGAATCTGAGGAATTAACACTTGTTCATAGCAAATGAAAGAGCTTAAGCGAAAGCTGATAGTAAGTGAGCAAGGTGGCTTGTGAGAAAACCCTAAAGGATGTCACCTACTGGGGCTGCACTGGAACAGCCTGTGCCAAATTTGGGAGGGTTCATGGTCCGGGAGATTGTAATGACAGGGAATAGAGTCAGAGGGTAGCACAAATACTCCTGTCAGTCATGGTAAGATGTTCAGATCATATTCTAAAGGTAACTGTTTAGTAAAGCTAAAAAAAAAAAAAAGGTTTTAAGAAAAAAAGTTCTACTGATGGTGTCTCTTAGAATTTTCCTGACTTCAGTGTGGAGGTTTGAGGAGAGTGAGAAAGGACAGGAAGCAGGAAGAACCTTCTTCAGTGAACCAGTTGAGAGAAATGGACATATTTTTAAAAATATTTAGGTAACATCATTTAATCATTAAGTAACAACTTTATTTTGAAAAATAATATGATGGCTCACGCCTGTAATCCTAGCAATTTGGGAGACCAAGGTGGGTGGATCACGAGATCAGCAGTTCGAGACCAGCCTGACCAACATGGTAAAACCCCGTCTCTACTAAAAATACAAAAAAAATTAGCTGGGCATGGTGGCGGGCGTCTGTAATGCCAGCGACTTGGGAGGCCGAGGAAGAATTGCTTGAAACCGGAAGGCAGAGGTTGCAGTGAGCCGAGATTGCACCACTGCACTCTAGCCAGGGCAATAAGAGCAGAACTCCGTCTCAAAAAAAGAAAAAAACAAGAAAAATAATATGAATAATATTATTTTATTAATATTTTAAATGATAAAATAATTTTTATCATTTAATGTGATATCATTAAATAATACATCATTAAATATAACATCGTCAAATGTTTGAATATGTTTACATTTTTTGTGAACATGTAAATATGTGGGACTCCAGGAAATAATTTAATTCTTTATTTGTTTGAATAACTTGGCTCTCTGAATTGCTCTTCTACATCCTCGATGAAGTAATAGCAAATAAATAATACATTATGGCACAAAATAAGCATCGTTCTTGTTAGTTTGAAAACAAAAACAAAAAAGGCAGTAATCATTCAATAGAACTTCCTAAGACAGTTTAATATTCAGAAAATTAGTTTTTGAGAGGCGTGTTTTTATTTCAGAAAACAACACAGATATAGCCTGAAAGAAGGGATTCTAAATAGTCTCATATTTTTTGTTGTTTTGTTTTTTCCTCCCTGGAAATCTTCAAATAAAAATTCCTACAAATTCAATGTTCTAGGTAGCATAAAACCCCACATAAGCAGTTTAATCAATCATTAAAAGCATTCTAGTTGCTTCTGTTGGATTCTTTAGATGGAATAATATCCTATAAAGATAAAACATTTTTATAATTATGTAGGGACTAAACCATACTGTTGACTGCAGAGTTTTAAACGTGGAACGTTCCCTACAGCACAGCACTTGAGGAAGTTGGGGAGGAGGGTTGGGCTAAAAAAATAAAAGAGTGTTAACCTGATTTTCGGACAAAGAAAATTACAAGTGAATCAGTTTTATAGACCTACTTAAAGTGTTTCCTGTGGGGGTATCATCCTGAAGTGGTGACTGAGTTGTCCTTGTTTATTTAGTTAGTTAATGCGTCTATTACATTATGTTTGCTAAAGATCCACCATTGCATTAATTTGGGTTATAAATATATTGGGTTATGTTCTTCCTATCAAGTTGACACATTCTGAAGATAAGAATTTTTTACGTTTTGTCTTGTTTTAATTTTACAATGACACATTTTAAAAAATATAAAAGAAATGTCACAGTGAACCAAAACAAATAAGAATGAGTATTCTTTGTAGCTGAAAGGTTTTTTCTTTATTCATATTATTTTTCAAAATAAAGTTGTTACTTAAGCAACAGTACACTTTCATTTTACAAATACACACTAGAAAACATTTTCAAGTAGAACTATGATCTTTGGATATTTTTTCCATTCCCTTCTCCTTAATTACATCATGATTAACACATATATGCTTGTTAGAAACTATAGAGTTTAACTAGTCTGTTCATTAGTCCATTTTAGGAATATTTTATTAAATGCAATATGTGTCAGTCAAAACATATATATTTAAGAGTAGGGTACCTAATTAATTTCTTTTTTGCTTATACTATAATGTGTCCCCTCGCAAATGTAGAACTTTGACCTTGCTTGGAAATTTCAGTTTAATTAATTTTTGCTTTTATACTAGTATCAGTAAAGACTTCGTTGTGTTAAAATTTCTGATACAGTGAGGAAGGTTAATTGTTTCTGTTCCTTTATAAAGAGTTTAAATGTTAGCAAAGGGTAAAAAGTTTGCTAACTATTCTTCCTGCTTTCTAATTATTTTTGTCTTTACGAATACAGCAAATGTACAGTGGAGAAAAGCACAAACTTATTTTTTTCATTAAAATTTATGAAGTAGTAGTTTTATAGAAATATATTCTAGATTCAGAACCTGGCACAGGAAAAAAGAAATCACCTAAACTTGCTTATTCATAAAACTGGAACAAAAGTGTGTTGACTTTCCAAAGAGTTTTACTGTAAAATCAGAATCTCATAACCTAACTGGGTACAAAAAATAATGTGATTTTAAAACATACCAATTTATTTTAAGAATTTTACCTTTGACAACATGCTTTTATTGGTCCATATGACATTCTTTCACCTGATGGTAACCCTAATGGAATGCAATTTTGTCATTCTTATATCTAATTATTTTCATAGTAACGTCAAGTGAAAAATCATTGTATAGCATAGACTTACATGATAAGAATAAAACGGCACAGCAACAATTGCTAATGTGCATTAAGTGTTATTTGGTGCCAGGAGCTATTCTCAGTTCTTCACTTTTGATGACGCTGTTAATTACAATTCTATGATGTAAATACTATTATTATTGGAATCTTCGCCTTGAAAATATGAAGTGAAACTAAGATTTTAACTTGTATGCAATTTGCAAAGGACATATTTTAGCACAATTTATTCATCTTTACCAAGAGACTTAGATAAAGGCTGCCATTAGTATTTGGCCAGTACAGGTGTCAGATGAATATATTTGGTTGTACATCTTAATATTTTTTTCAAAGTAATTTGATTCATTTCCTATATCAGGAAATTATCAGATCCAAACACGCACACACGGGTGCACACATACATACAAATATATGCACACATCCAGTACATTTTTAATTCTCTAGCAATTAAAGAAAGATTGAGCTGGAAAAAAAGAGACTTAAAGCATTCACTCAAGGAAACACAGCCATGATATACTTTAAAAAATGAAAGTTATTAAAGACTATTTTAATAAAAGTTTTATAAGCATAAATAATAAATAATCAAGTAAGGATCAATCCATACTCTAATGTGTTGGCAGTCCATATACATACATACATATATATATATATATATATATTTTTTTTTTTTGAGATGGAGTCTCGCTCTTGTCACCCAGGCTGGAGTGCAATAGCACGATCTCTGCTTACTGCAACCTCTGCCTCCTGTTCAAGTGATTCTCCTGCCTCAGCTTCCCAAGTAGCTGGGACTACAGGTGCATGCCACCATGCCCAGCTAATTTTTGTATTTTTAGTAGAGATGGGATTTCACCAGGTTGGCTAGGCTGGTCTTGAACTCCTGACCTCAGGCGATCCACCGGCCTTGGCCTCCCAAAGTGCTAGGATTACAGGCATGAGCCATTGCGCCCAGCCACTCAATATATTTTTTTTTAGTGTCATTCATACAGAAAAAAAGAACACACTTTTAAAGTTATCCATGAAAGTAACAGTGCATTAACAGTGCAGGGTAATTTTTTTCTAAAACCTATTCCAAAATCTAATGTAATAATTGTCCTATTTCAGTCAGTCTGGCATCATCTTGTTATTTTCAACATAATTCAGTTTCATAATACTAGTTCATAGATGTGTGTAAATTTATTGTGTGGCCAAATACAATGACATTCTTTATTCATTTCACAATAGAATTAAGTTTTATGCAATACAAAAGGAAAAACATATGGAAAATAGTCACTTTTAATAGATATTTGAGTCTGAAAAAAATAAAATGGGTTTAGAATTAAAAATCAAAGCCCATGGCTTGAACTGAGGCATATTTCCTTCTGTTATTAATGTTTGAGTTATATGCTAAAGACGAGATTATTCATCAAGTCCCTCATGCAATATGTTAGTAAATGGGATTTTGGTTAGTAATTTAATTGCTTAAACCCTGACCATGTAAGCTCCCAAATCACTCAAAATAAGCTTTTACAATGGCCTGAACTGAATTAAAACAGTTAACAACACCAAAGAGTACCTCTTGATTTTATTAAGAAATGCATGTATGAAAATCTATTAACATAGGGGGAAATCTCTGCCACCCCACTACGGTTAAGAGTAAGCTTTTCCTTTTCCTTTCTTTGCTTTCTCTTTTTCCAACAAATGATGGGTTATGTGAGAGTTTTTTTTTAAAACCCATATAAGGAAATATGGACTTAATTTTAAAATATAAATAAATAAAAGATGTGATGCCTCTGGTTAGAATATTGAATAAATAATTCTGACTACTAGAAAGTATAATGAGAATTCAAGTGACCGTTGTGAAAATGCTCACAAAGCTTATCCACAAGCTATTGGGGTCATATGCTTAAGCAGGGCTCCACTGTTGTTACTTGTACAGAGCTTCACTAATGGTCTGATAATAGGGGAGGGGAAGGTCGGCGTGGAGGTTCTCGTAATACTTTATAGTGGTGTAAGCACGACAGCCACTGATTAATTACTGCCCTGTTCTCAACACACATTAGATTACTAAGCAATCTCGTTTGTCTCCACAATGGCTTCATAGTTGCAGAACACTGTCCTAGAGAATATGTTAGGACGACTTACTAATGAACTTTGGATACTAGTGTAAATTTGCGGTAAAACTTCTTGCCTTTCAGATGATTGAAATGAAGATTAGAAAATATTCAAAAGATGAAAAAATGTATATATAAGCAACTCTTTTGGGGGAGATAATATGGGTGTGTCAAACTTCAATTTCATTTCAGACAGCAATAATGCATCATACTACTTTCAAAAGGATTATTATAGTGATCACCTTAAAAATATTAGGACACATTCCTGTTTTTACTTGCTCTCTTTTCTAATTTCGTTACTCTCTCTCCCATTTACACACATAACAGTGTTTGGGGTGGGGGGAGCGTCGTATAGTTTCAAAATACACTGAAAAACCAGACACTCAGCTAAAAGTAAAAAAAATCACTTCACTTTAAATAAATTTCTCAAAGTAGCTCATGTTAATATGTGCTTCTATGGAAACAACTCTTTCTGAATGTCAGCTTAAGCTTCTCCATATGATTTTTCTCAAAGGCTCCCTTTAAAAACCATCACTACTATTTATTATCTTCTTGTTATATAGACTGTTACTTTTGTTTCATCACAAATCTCTGCCTGTTTATTAGCAGCCCTGCCACTACTATCAGATGACATTTGTTTTACTTAATGTATGTAGTTTTAGGGAAAAAAATTATAGAACTGCTATTACTGCATTATATGAAAAAATTCCAATGTACATTTAGCTGACACTGCATCAGCTGCTATTGAAACTGGGCTTAGCTAATGGACTTTTAATGTCAGCGGGGTTATGTGCAGTTACTGGCTATTAGCAGAAATGGCTCCTTTCTATAAAAATCACTTTTCCTCAAGTGTGTTGTTTGAACATTCCTTTCCCTAATTTAGTGACTGTCACTGAATGCAAAACAAACTCAAGGACTCTGGAGTCCGCTGTTATCTTTAAGACCCTCTTTTTAAACTTGCATTCAGCATTAAACAGGCAACCTCCCTCATTAGGATTTAGACTTGTAATCTGAAAACTTTGTAATGCATTATTATTTATTTTGCTGTTCTTAGCAGTGCACTACATATTTCACTATGAAAACCCCACATCATCAATGAATGGTATATGTATGAAAGAAAACATTCAAAACAGTTTGCTTAATCCTAGAATTTACTTACACACTTTAAAAATCCTAGTTCAAAAATGCCAAGTGATATGGGAATGTATGACAATAATAATCAATATATGTTTATATATTGATGTATTATGTAAATATTCATATGTTAACCTGTATTTAATACAGTAGTGAATATAAGTAAGGAAGCATATATCACTATATCCTGAATAAAATTATGTTTATTCTTTCTTTAGTAACAAGCTTTCCTTCCTCGCAATTGACTTTATCTTCATCCATTTAAATAAAGCTTTAAATGGAAGTAATGGATAAACCTGGAAATAAAGCCACCAATATGGCATATGAGGGTGTCCAAGAAAATCAAACATAACTCCATTTGATTAAGAGCTTGAAACAAACCATCACTTTATTCTGGTCAGAGAAGAACAGTACAACTGACCTCTTCTTCAATCAGCCCACATGAGAGGTCACCTCATGTAGGGTGCTTACCAGGGACATGCTGTCTCTTCCAGAGAGCACCCAGAGAGGGGTTCATAAATGTGAAGAAAGGATTTTACTCCTGCGTGCACTGCATGCATAAAAGTCGACAGTCTCCTTTGGTCAACAAATTATAGTCCACCGTGTAGGAAAACAACAGCAGTTCTCCTCCACGGCTTTGAAACAAGTCAGTGAAAGTGGAGATCCCCTAGTCTCTGTCACTTGGATGACAGGAGAGAACTTGTTTCCATCAGATAAGCCACTGCACTAATGAGACAAAAACATCTCTTTGGAAACTGGGGAAATGACTTCGCAATTTGCCAAGAGCAAGGCAACTTTTCTCAGAAAAGTAAGATATAATTCTTCATTCAGAAATCAGTGATTAAATCCAAGTTTCAAGTCCTTGACTATCTTTATGAATTTGTTTTATAAGTTAAAAAGTTTTTTCCATTGGTTTGATAGACTCCATTGGTTTTTTGAGGATATTGCCAAGTCTGTTTGAAAATGAACTCTTGCTCCTAAAACATAAAAAGCTACACAAACACACACACTCACATACAATTTGTGTAAGCACATATATGCTCACAGGGAATTAGTGAACTATATTTGTCTTCTCCTTGTCATTCTTCATTTCGTTAAGAATCGGCCTGGAAACACCCTCCCAGGAAATATTTCCATATTTATTTAATTCAATAAAAAATGGCATGTGTATCTTTCATGTGATCACCACGTCTAATAAATCCAATAAAATGATCTCCTCTCCCTTGCTACCGGGAAAACATACTTACTGCCAAAACTTATCCTAGCCATCCTTCTACTTTTTTTTTTTTTACCATGTAATAGTAAATAAACTATAATATTTTTCACTGTGGTCATTTTAATTCTATACAGATTTATATATGTGTGTATAAATATAAACAAAAATAAAAATGACAACAATTCTTAACGGAGTAGCTTAGGAAGTAGCATTTTATAAAACCCCTGGAGGATACTAGTATAGCACTGATTTAAATCTAGATTTCTCAAACAAGCACATCCTGCCCAAATAGTTCCAATAAAATTCAAACTTCTTACAAGTTTATACCTTTTAAATACTTCCCAAATTCTTTTGCTATATTAATTGAAATAAGTGCAAATCAAGACTCTATTTAGGTAAAAGTTTCAAGTCAGAGGGCCTGTTGAATAATATTATGATGAAATACTGATCTAGGGTCTCTATTCCGGATAGCACAAATAAATCATTTGAACATGTCGGTTTTTCCTCAGCTTCTGAGAGCAGTTACTCAAATGGGCTTCTGTTTTCCACCACCCTGCATGCTCTGTGGGTGATGGCTGTGGGAGGCAGGGCGGGGAATGTCTGAGCCTCCTTCAATCCTTGAATTTGATCCCTAACACATTTTTAAGCTTTATTCTTTCATCATCTTACAGAGGAGATCCAGAAGGAAAAAGGAAAGTTGCTAAATAAAATGACAGGCACCATAATCAATGTTTCATTTAGAATGACTTCAAGATTGCTGCTTGCTAAACTTGAGCACTTCCACTGGGCGGCTACAATGTGTATATTTGCCAAACACTTTATTCAATGAGATAAAATATATCATTTTCCCTTAATCAAAAACGAAATTCAAATGTCAATGTATTTCACATAGACATACAGTTCAAAGTGAAATTACCATTATTTACTTTGTATTTCCAATCATAAAGTTTTTGTTGTGGTAATAATTTGGTTACTTGTTTGATTTTGATTAGTAATAATACAGATCTCCAAAAATCATGTATAATAACATAGTGCTCTTTTCACTGACTATCATTTTTAGTTTCTATAAAAGTTATGGAATACCACTGGCTAAAATATAATCTTTGATCTAGTTCTTCAAAGGGTTTTTAAGGCCATATGAAATTCCAAAAAGATATTAGAATTATTTAAAATATTGAATTTGAATACAAGTAACAAATATGCAAATTCATAGAGAATAGAAGAGTCCCAAATTGCTCCTTTTACCTTTAGTAAAGGTAAAGTAGTCCCCCTGCTTATCTGCAGTTCACTTTCTGCAGTTTCAATTACCTGAGGTCAACTGTGGTCCAAAAACATTAAATGGAAAATTTCAGAAACAAACAATTCGTAAGTTTTAAACTGCATGGAGCTCTGAGTAGCGTGACAAAATCTCTCAGACATGAATCACTCCTTCATCCAATGTACCCATGCTGTATAGACTCCCCACCTGGTAGTCACTTAGTAGTTATCTCGGTTATCAGATGAAAAAAAAGCAGTGTAGATGGGAGTTCCATACTATCTGTAGTTTCAGGCATCCATTGGGGGTCTTGGAAAGTATCTCCTGCATTTAAGGAAGGACTGCTGCACATGAATTTCTTTTACTTGTAATTATAAGTGGATACTTTTATATCACGTACCCCATTAGATTGCACTAAACTTCTATTATCTAAGAGAATGTATTTTATGAATTAATTTAAAATGATCACTTTTATCTACAAATGCTGTGCTTTACTTCTGTACTACATATTTATATTTTATATTATTATATACTCTAAGTTTTTTTAATTTTGAGAAAACCTGCATTTCTATTTATGGATATATTTCTATTTATGGATATATCCCTTACAACTGGACTGTAGATGCATTTTAATAAACAAGCACTATTCTGTTTTTATTGGAAAGAAATATCCACATATAAGGTGGTTCTTCTGAACAGAAATAAAAAGAGAGAAAACAATAAATAAGAATAGAGTTCAGGCAGTCCATGATTAAATAATCAATTAAGAGATTGACTAAAACTGAGAAATACTAGCATGCATCAATGAACTTGTTAAGTGTGCTGAGGGAGTTTCTGTTGTTTCACATCGTCAGTTAGAAGAGGATATAATCCATGGTCATCTACATGAGGCATTTTTATAGCTCTCATAATTGCTGAGAAATGAAACTAGCCACAGGATCCACATGACAACATGATTAATGAAGATAAAACCCCCTATCCTCACAACATTTTAAAATAAGTAAGACTGGTAACTCTGGTGTTAAATCTGAGTAATCAATATCATCTGTTAATATGATTATTGTGAGCCCTGGTATTTAAAATAAGAACTCTAACAGGCATATCTATATAATGAAGTTTCACCCGGCTCCCCTCACGCTCACATTCCACTACCACGTTGGCAATAAGATGTGTTTAGTTATTTAACTAAAAGAGGGTATTCACCAAACATGGGGATTTTCAGATGTTATACTTCACTTTTGCCACACAAGGCACTTTTGAATCACTGCTCATTGCTAATAAAAGCTATACTGACCTAAGGACAAATATCTGCATATTTGGCACTTTCAAAGCTATAGCTCACTTTCTAAATTGTAACTTCAACTTAATTAATGTCATGGCAACTTTAACACTATGTACTCCATGTAGAAGGGGAGGTATGTTTTAAATACTTATAAAATCTGGAAACATTCTTCTGTGTATTTCAAAATCTCATTATATATGAGCAACATTTTGGGGAGCAGCAATGCTCAAAACAAAAAACCACAGTACAACTTCAACACAAAACTATTTTTTTAATTCTGAAATTTCAGCTCAATATTTTCAAACATATTGTTCATAAAGAGTCCAAATATCTGCAACATGATATATGTTTTGGGTTTTCATGAAAAGGCAGAAATTCTTCTGGTGGCTCCATACAGGTAGACAGGATAAAAAAAAAAGTTTTCTATTTCTGATCTTGTTAGCTCATAAAAGTGTTCCTATAAAATGTTTTTATTAAAATCTCTGTAAGTTTGAAAATAACAAATATTTAAAATAAGAGAAACTATAAATTATCCCATTACTAAGTTTCTTTTTTTAAAACTAGAAAAAAGGGAAACACTAGTGTTTGAATATCGCTCAAGGCAAACTTACTCTACTTCAAAGTAGCATTAAAAAACAGCACCAAGTTTCTGTGAGTAAAACATCCTTGAGCTAAGAGATACTGGAATAATACCAAAGGTCTCATATTCATGTAGCCCTCCTCCACAAATACATAAGCAATAACAAATCCAAGTAAGAAATGAAACCAAAGAAGCATCCATACATAGGTTTAAGAAATCAGGTTAAAAAAGAAAGAGTGCAGAACCAGAACCAATAATAGAAGCAGAATGACAATTTTGTAGGAGAAAAATCTAAACCGTAAGTAATATAAAATGCCCTACAAATCTCTTATTTTATCTCAAAAGTCTGACAGAAAACATTTGCTCCAAACATGCAAAGAATGGCAATAACCATTAAACAATAAGAGTTAGATGCAAATATTTCACCAAAATATATGTCATCTAGATTATCTGTGCTGTTTTAAATTAGGATAACGAAACTTCCTATTGCAAATATAGTTTGAATAAATGAAAGTTCTGGTGAATTTTCTTTGCCTTCGTGTTGACCTATTTTTATGTTTATTTTGTTTGAACAGAAAACCAATTATGTTCTTTAGAGTATATACTTGTGTCCATTTTCTTTTAAAGAAAAACTGTCCACATTCACATAAAGGTCTGATTTTCCCCAAACCCTTATCAGAAATCCTGGGGTGTACCTTTTTTCTGTAATAGTGTTCATGGATTTATGAAAAGTTATCTTTCAGTATCCCTTGAGAAAATAGAAAGTCAAGGACGAGCTTCTTGCAAGGACTTAACTGGGAGTGACTTAACGTGTCATTTTTAGAACTAATATTAGGTTAATTTTCCCAGAGAGAACAGAAGGGAAGAAAAGAGACTGTGGAAGGGAATGAGATTCCCACAGGCTGTTCAGAGAACTGTACTCTGTCCAGGAGTTTACAATGATCTACTCCGCAGCATCTCTTCAGATAGCTCCATTTCTTGCTTTTGGGGAAGCAGTGTCAGCAGCTATCATCACTCTGAGTTCAAAATTATTGACCTTTAGTTTCTTTTACATCTAGATTTCTTTGCCAACGGTTTGTAGAATTGAAAGTCAAGGAATAATACTTATTTTCTATGAGCTAAAAGCTGCTCTAATTGTAACCTGTAGTATATATTATCCTCATTTTTACATATGAGGAAACTAAGGCACGGAAACGTTAAATGTCTTGCTCATAGTCACACAGCTGGAGGTGCTGGAAGCAGTATTAGGAAACATTGGTAATCACTATGTTAACTGACAGAATGGGCATACACCATTAACAGCTCTTAGCCTGTGCCTCCCCAGAGCCAGATGAAACTTGCATTAAATCTAAGTAAAATGCTGTTGCAACGCAAACTTAGCTTCAAGAACATACAACTTCCAGCCAAATCACTGCTCCCACGTTCTTCTGTGTAGAAATTTTAGAACCCCCCACCCACCACTCACATTAGAATCCTAGCTTCACCTATGTTTACTATCTTCGGATGTCTGAATCCAGAAAGTACTATACCTGTGTCCGCTTTTATACTTAAGAAAGTGAATTATAATTCCATGGTTCTACTTCTGTCTTCCTGTAGGGCTTAAACTGCCTGGTTACATTCCGTTTCTAACAAATAGCATTCAGCCTAGGATGCAATATGAGTGCACAATAATTGCTTAAGAACTTTACTTCTAATACCATACTCTATCCATAGAAGCCATTGTTTCTAATTTGTGAGGAAATGTGAACAGGTTTGTTTTTAACTGCCACAAATATAAAAGTCAAACTAAAAAAATATGTAGGCTAAAACTTCAAGGCAATAGCACTGGCTCAATCTCAACCCCCACAATTTTCCCCATTATCTTCCTAAAGTGGTTGCAGCCTGTAATTTTAATGTTTCTTCTGAGAGTGACTCCCTCTGCTGCTTCTGCAAAGCCATGACCTAAATCAGAAAAGTGTTAAACGCAGTTAAGGCCTAATAGAGCACACTTGCTGTTGGCACTAATTGGAGAACCTAGCATACATTAGAGAACAGTTATGTTTAAGTCTCAACAATAATTCTAAATAAGCTAACAGGGTTTACTTAGCAGAGCTCATGCCTTGTTCATGTCCTTAGGGGGGGTTGCTTAAAATAGACCCATACAAGTTCTGACTAGGACAACCAGCTCCAAACTACAATAGGAGGTGTTCGAGGACCCTGTCTTATTTAACTCTTTACCCTCAGTATCCAGAATACAGGAGTCCAGGGAGTCAATAAATGTCAGTTATAATCTAATGATTCCTAATTCTTTGCAAGTGTTTGAAAAGTTTATTCTTTGAAGATTTTAAGCATTCTCTAAGCTAGAATACACAAAATTATTTTTCTAAACAGAAGTAAACTAGCCTACTTTTCCTTATTGCATATTCCTAATGTGAATTCATAAACTTTCTGTACTCCTACAATGAAAAAGTATACGATAGAATTGTAATGAACTTTAGTTGTCTTCACTGTTGACTGTCTATTTGTACCACACCAATATGCAAACATGCATAAAGGAATTTTTACTCTTTTGTAGGAAGACATATGTTATTTAAAAAAAAAAACTATGAATTAAGATAATAGGGAATTATCCCAATCTAATTAGAGACTTCAGTAATTTTTTGTCCTGAGTTTGGTGGTGTTAACACTCATAACACTAGTTGGAGCTAGATAAGCAGCATATCAATGCTGTGTAGCCCAGATAAAATGCATTTATAAACCAGGAGGGTCCTAATTCAGAAGCACACTGATCTCACACACACGCGCGCGCGCGCACACACACACACACACACACACTGCCTTTTACTAGTAAAATCTTTCATTCTTGGAAGTCACAAACACTACAAATTCCCTGGAGCTAGGAGTTCCCAGCAATCCTGAATGAAACAATTAGGGCATAGCCAGAAAGGAGAAAGTTGTTGCCTACAGCCTAGAGAATTTCCCAAGGACCTATTGAAAATGACTGCTGCCTAAACCACAGTTACAAAACTCAGTACACTCACAAATAATGCCTATTCTATGTTTTATCTTAAATATCTGTTGTTTCCTTGATTATCTCTGAAGATATATATACATACTTCTAATTTTTGCAGTACTTCAGCAACAGAATAAAAACCTCATCCACATTGTAAAGTGCTTAAAGTAACTTTCCCATGTTAATTGCTCTTGGACTTTCATTCATAAGAAATAGTTCATTTGGATCTTTAAGTCATCACCACAAGGAAATCATACCTTGAGGGTATGGGCTAGTGTTCTAGTCCAAGGAAAGGAGAAAGAAGAAGAATAAGAAGGAAAAGGAGGTCTGACTATCAGACCATTTATAAAATGTGTGATTCTGCAAGGAAAGTGTTAACGGTGGCTCAAGATAAACAGGCTGGGTTACTGTACTGCAGTGATGAAGGTAGTAGCTGATAGTGGAGTTTGGTGCTTTATCCTTCCTTTGATAACTAACAGACAACACAGGAAGAGCTGCTATCCCTGGAACATGGAGGATAACAAAGATAAAAGCGGTGGAATAGTGCATTTTACAGACCATGAGATTCAAACAAAAATTTTACTAATCAAAAACTGAAGGAACTAAATAAACGAAATGGACAAGAACTGCAGTGAAATGCATACACCCAACGGAGTACATTTTCTTTTTCCACTTAAGATGAGAATCAGTCCCCAATCTTTAACTTGCCTACGCTACAAAAAGTGCAAGAGAAAAAGTCTATCCTAAGCATCTTTTCTTTTTAATCTCTTCTCCCTTCTTCTTTCAATATTAATCCATTTACAATCTGCTGTTTGATTATCTTTATTGATCCTTTTTCTACCCAGTCTTTTTAATTTGGTTATTGTAAGCTCTTAGCAGGAATCCTATCTCTTGTTTGGCATCTTTGGGGACTTTAACTTGTCTTTTTCCCAAACAGTTCTCTCACCGTGCCCCGTCCCCCTCTCCCGCCACCCACCCCCATGGCTCAGTCCTTTGTATGCCCAGTAACAGCAGGCGAATTCCACAGGGAGTCGCGCGGTTGATTCCACGACTATTCATAAGGTTGTTCACTTAAGCTTCCAAACACCCCCCTCTAAGCACCCTTGGCTAGCGCCCTGAGAACTTCTTATCAATTTTAGGAAATCCACAAGCTATGATTCTCGGTGGAGATTCCTTTTTAAATAGACAGACAGATGAACTCTGGAGGTGTGCATAAGAAAACCAGAGCAGAACCTCAGGGATGGGAGGCATCTGGCGAGAAAGGAAGGAAGGATTTATGAGCAGGGCCACTTAGCAGGGCAGCAGGAAAATTTACTTCCGAAGAAGCTATCGCTAATTCACAAAGCCTTGCTAATCACTTACCTCTCCACCCAGACCGCACTCCTATGCTAGGCGCTCTCCTCCGCTTCCAACACCCCCATCCCCACCCCCAGCGCCTCTCTAAGATCAGAGGGAATGCTGTCCGGAAACCCTAGGGTGTCTGAACATCACCTGGGGAGTTGGGGCTATCGTAAAGCCTCCCTTTACTCTCCAAATTTGGAAGGAAGAGTAACCGAGAGTGAAGGGAGAATCCCTGAATTGCCTCTGAATGCTGCATAAGCTTCCTTCATTCTCTCCTCTTCCAGGAAAAGCTGAGCTGCCTCGCCTGAGCCGGCTATCACCACTGAAGTGGGCTAAGAGACCCAAGTAGGAGCTGGGCTTGGCCAGAAGTTTTGGGGCCCAGGTGACCTGAAAGAGACCCCGGAGGGGACAGCCTTGGCTCTTTCTTCTGCGCTCCCTTCCAGTCAGCTTTCCCGGCTTTGAAGGCTGGGAGCTGCTGCTAACACTTCAAACTAGGCGGACAAGAAGGGAGCCGGGCGATCAGCTCCGGAGCCTCCCCTCCTCCCTTACCCATCCCCAACTCCCGGCCACACTCTTCCCAACCCGGCTTCGCCCAGGGCCCCGGTCACTTATGTTAAAGTTCACAGGCGTTAAATTAAAATGTCAGAGTTATAAACTGGTCGACTACCCCGGGGAGTTTCGGATTTGGTTTGAACAAGCAGCCGGTTCCCCCAGAGCTCCGGGATTTTCATTTCTACATCCCCTGGTGGGAAGCAGGCATGAAGCGGGGTATGTATGAGTGCAGAGGCATGCACATCCCGGGCCTGCCTCCAGCCGGGTACGCGGATTCGGGTGAGCTGTGTATTTCCACAGCACCTGAAGCAGCAGGCGAGGGGGACGGGTGCTTTTGAGTCCTTGACAGTAATGGACACATTTCCTTAGCTGAGCGCCCTTCGGGGTCTAGTGTGCTCAGAGACTCAGTGAAGATCCTGCTACCCCAGTCTTGGCACAGCGCGGGGAGCCTCTGCGCATCATGCGCTTCGGGGTGCATCTACGGTATGTCACACAGCCACCCGCACCGAGAGTCTTTCCAAACCTCCGTGTGTGCAATATGCAACAACGTGCGCGTGCGGAGCTGAAAGGGCACAAGACACTCCAGGCTCCCACACGTATGGAGACGGATCGGCTGCGTGTCCACACCCCGTTCGTCCCTGGTCCATTCGTGCCCATCTCAGAAGATAGATTAAACATAATAATAATAATAATTATTATTATTATAATCAAAGCTTCTTGACTAGTTGGGAAAGTGGAATTTAGAGTGGTTTCCAGTTGAAAGCAACGAGGCAAATTGAGGAAGTCAAGAGAACTGGGGAGGAGGAGAGGAAGGAGGGAAGGAAGAAGCTAAGGGAGGTGGCCGCGGAGCTTGGCGGACCCCCTTACCTTGGGCGGCGGAGCCAGTGCCGCTGGCGCTGAGCAGGGCCAGGGCAGGTAGCACGAGCATTTGCAGCAAGTATCCCAGTCCCAGTCCGCAGCGGGCCGCTGTCGCCCGCAGACCTTTCCTCATCGTAGACAGAGGTGTGCCGGGGGGAGGGGAGGGGGACAGAGAGACGCGCAAACAGCTGAAAGCCCCACTGGGCAGAAGCTGAATCCGTGCACCGCGAAGCAGTCCGAAGAAATAACGACAACCAAGCGCCACACTCCACTTTCTCCAAAGGCAGGGGCCAAAAGGGGGAGGAGAGGAGACGCCGAGGAGGAGTTTGAAGGTCCCTCTTTCCCAATGCCTTCTAACTGACGTCTCCCGCGAGCGACTGCTCTGCCCCCACTTGGGAAGTCCAGGGAGGCGCAAGGCGGCCACCTCCGCCGCTCCCCCCAGCAGCAGGAGCAGCCGCAGCTCCGCCGCACGCCGAAGTCTGGACTGCTCTCCGGGTCCCCTCGCCTGTGAGGAACACACACAGACACCGGGGGTGGGGGTGGGGGTGGGGGTTGAAGTGGGGGGAGTTGGAGGAGGAGGGAACGGAGGGAGGAAGCTTGGGCACCGTCAGGCGCTCTGGTCTCCAATCTCAGTGTTCTCACGCCGGCGGAGAGATGTCCCGGCTGTCGCTGCTGGGTGGCCAAGGAGGTTCACATCCTAGAGTAGGGCGCACGGGTGCGCGAAGGCGCTCGCCAAGGAGGCGTAGAGGGCGCAGCACAACTCCTCTGGGGGGTAACCGGGGGCGGGAGCACGCCCGCCCGCCTTATGTAAGCAAGGATTGCAGGGAGATCAGCGCCCAGGAGACCAGCTGTGGGTTTGCCCGCTGAAGCCGAGGCGAGACAGACCAGGGGACGAAGCGGCTGCGGAGAGTGGCAGCGCGCCTGCCTCCCGCGGTGCGCCAGACCTGGACGCCGGGAGTGCAGCGGGCGCGCCCCGGGCCACTAGGCTGTGTCCAGTGGAGCTCAGCCTGCCGCCTGCCACCTTCTTCGCCGCGCCGGCAAAGCCTCAGCCGAATTCCCTAGGACTGGACTCGGTCTACGACTTCGGGTCTCGCGGTTGACGAAGCCGGTGCGGGCTCGAACTGAAGTCCTTCTTGGTTGGGGAAGAAGGCATGAAGCTTTTGCACTGCCCCAGCCGGCTGCTGTCCTGGGGTTGTCAGCGCCAGTCAGACTGCTTTATGTTCTGAGCGCGTATGACCCCTTTGCAGTGGAACAGAAACTAAAAGCTCGACGGAAACTCATTCTGCAACAGTGCTTTCTTTGCGTGCATGTTGGTGGCTGACAAGGGTGGTGATGCGATACCGAGAGAAACTCTCTTAGAAAAAAAAAATGCAAAGCAAAATTTGTAGATACTCAAAGTGATGGTGGAGCCTATAACATGTTTTTCAAATTTCTAATAGTGTGTGTAAGAACTCGAGCTGCTATGAATTTGTTTACCTTTCTACAGGAAATAATTGTCTACGTAGCTGGGTTGTGAATCCCTGTGGTCATGATGGAGGGATGCAAGATTGGGTGGGTAAAATAAGACTAGACAAAAGGAAAGTGAATTTATTAAAAGGTCAACACACAGACACAGACAACATTTTGGGAAAAAGAAAATCACTTCCCAAGATTAGCATGTCTTTAAACTAATAATACATCAGGGAATTTTATGCTCTTGGTGCCAAGGGGGCCATGTGTAAACACGCATGCACACACACACGCAGGAAACATGAGGTCTAATTTTGGCTGTGGTCATAACTACTCTGTTACCCTGGGTAAGTCAGGTAACCTGTGAATGTCTCAGTTTCTTCATTTGTGAAATATTTTGATAGTTTCAAAGTTCTCTTAAGTTCTAACATTCTATGATTCTGCCTGCACAGCCCCATCTAGGCAATAAGACCTATCTCGGATGAATCAGGGAGATCCGAAAAGGTAGTATTTGCCAAAGACATTGACAAAACTGGCCACTTCTTATTTCTGTGGAGACTCTGTCCACCACACAAAACCCTTCTTCACTCTCTTCATCTTCTCCATACCAAGACATCAAGATATTTGACAACAGGGTGGGTGCTGGCACCAGACTGTCTGCCTTCAGTTCTTAGCATTTCTTATTACTTGACTGATATTGAACATTAAAGCTAGGTGCCTCTCTTCCCTAATTTGTAAGATGGGTCTAGTAACAGGAACTATCTCATAGGGTTATTTGAGGATTATGTAAGTTAAACATATGTAAAATGCCTGACGCCAAAATTGTAAACTGCTGTTCTTACCATTGATGAAAAATTCCCATTAGCCTCATGCTATCTACACCAGTGCTGTTCAGCAGAAATTTCTGCAATGAAGAACATGTTCATATCTGTACTTTCTGAGGTCGTAGTTATGAGATACATGTGGCTACTTGCATGCAATGTGGCTAGTGTGAATTGGAAATTTTTATTTAATTTTAATTTAAATAGTCACATGTGGCCAGCAGCTACCATATTTTATGGTGTATCGAGGCCACTAATAACTTGTCAAGTATTTTGAGAATGACTTCACAAGGGATTATTATTATACTTTATATTTATATGTACAATTTTACTAAGAAGGACAACAGCTTAAGTACTAAGAAATCTCCACACATACTCACCATCACATCAACGACATCCAAAAGTTATTTATTTACAATTTTATTGCCTGTCTTCTTAAATTAGAATTTAACTCTTTTAAGACAGAGATTTTGCCTTTGTTCATTATTTCAACCACAGCTCCTAAACTGAGCCTGATATATAGTTGGTACTCAATCAATATTGACTGATTTCCTGCCAAAAAAGCTCAATGGGGAAGACTCCTCAAAGTCTAGGACAGCTAAAGAAGGTTGAAATTGTCGCCTACTCCTGTTTGGGGTATTGAGGTACTCAGTGACAGATACCACATGCAATTAGTTCCTTAAAATAAAGAATACGAGATTAAAAGAGGAAATGTAGTTAAATACTGAAATTCAGCCTAAAGATGGCAGGAGAATGGTTTGAGAAGTGGTATAGAGTAATGAGGTGGAAAAGGGGGAAGAGAGTGAGAGCACCACACAAAGGACAGGAAAAACACCAGCAATACATCAGCTTTACACAGCAGGCAAGTTTCCTGCTCTCTACAAGTACAGATGGAACTTGTCTTGTGAATTAACATCCTGACTACTTTTGTTGATCATCACATTTTTTCCTCATGAGAGAAATAATAGTGTTTTATAGGCTCCTGAGAATAGGTTTACTAAAGTCATCGAGATCTGGGTTCAAATGACACTGCTTAGGGAGGCATTCACTGATCAAGTTACCTAAAATAGCAACAATCTATCATCCAAAATATCATTTGCCAGCTTTGATTTTGCATATAACACTTACTTTATATATGTACATATATGTGTATATATATATTTGTGTGTGTGTGTGTGTATACATGTATATATATATGCAGTCTGCAATAAAATGTATGCTTCTCAGGGGAGAAATTTTTTTCTAATACATTCAGTGCTCTATACCCAGAACCTGGAACAATACCTTGTACATAATAGGTGATCAATAAATACTTACTGAATATTGAATGGATTGAATCAGAACCAATGGATTTAAAATTGAGCTAAGTCCTTCATTAAACCTTCTTCCTCTCCTCTTCAGCCTCTCAAGTTATCAAATTATGAGTAGGCTTTTCTAGTTGTTGAATAAAATCAAGTTTTGCCAAATTTTCACCAAAAATTTATTGGAATTTGACTTTTTAGGGTTGGAATACTGCAGGTGTTTAAGGAACAGACAGGAAATTCATCTCATCTTGAAAAATGAAAAGCTTCATTTAAATCCATATACAAGGGCTTTCTTTTTCTTGGCTGCAGTGAGTGGAGAATTAACTCTAGGATAATAAATCCCAGTGACAGGTGCTAATGGGAATTAAGCATGCAAATCCCCTGCATATCCCTCCAGAAATCTACACCAAGAAAAGTATGCTATTTAGCATGTAGGCTGCTTCATAATAATATCATTTACTCGGAACTAGTACTGAAAAAGTTTCCAGTTTAAAGCTTAAATCAAAAACAATTGATCATATATTTTAATTATGGAAATATTTTCTTTCATTGTATCTCTCTCCTTATATGTTTGATTCCTCACTTTTTATATTTTTTGTGTAGGTTTAAAAATAAATCTTCATACCAGGGATATTATTAACTGCATTAACTGGCAACATAGGAGAAAGAGGATTTTAGTGAATAAATAGGATGGTGATGAGGAAAACTCCTTTCCTACAAGTTGGGAGTTCAGAGACCTCACATAATGTTACTGATAGACATCAACGAAGGAGAGCCAGATGGTCTAGATTCAGTTGATTCAATCCTCCTTCCCTGCCTTAGCCCAGAGAAAGAGATTTAACTTGTCATAAACCAAAACTCTCTAGGGCTTTCTGCTTTTTATTAATTCTATTAGATAAGACCCATTTGGTTGCAAGTGAAAGAAACCCAACTCGAACCAGCTTAAGCAAAAAGATAATTTATCACTGTGCATAACTCAAAAACTATGGATAAGAAATATCTATTTAATAATAGATACCATTTACTATCACTCACTGTGTGTCAGGCACTTTCTAAGCTCTTTACATGTGCTATCTCATTTAATCATCATAACTGAATGAAAGTGCCATTATTATCTCCGTTTCATAAATGAGGAAACAGAGTGGTTATGTAACTTTGCCCAAGGTCACACACAGTTAGTATTTACTAGCGACAGTCTGATTTGAGGGATGATGTCTTAGACCCATGAATTTAAATATCACTCATGGGACTTAGTACTTCCCCCCACCCTCAATATCTTGGTTATGCTCTCCTCTGTTTTGGTTTCATTCACAGACTTATGATCTCCATCCTGGGATTCCCAGCAGCTCCAGGTTTACATTGTCTTTATCATTGTCAATCTCAACACAAAGCACACTCGTTTCCAAATGGCAAAAAATAAATACAGAATTATGGCCCTGGCCTATCTTGGGCCACATACTCACAACTGAGGCAATTACCATGGCCAGATGTTTGGCATATACTGAATGGCAAGGCCTGGTCATGTGCCAATATTTGCCAACTGGAAACTTGGATTGAAAATGGGGATAAGGGGTTCTCCAAAAGGATACAATAGAAAATGATTAATACAAAAAAAAAAAAAGATGCCAAAGAGAATGGATGTAGGGCAGACAAAATAACAAATCCCTATTCTGTGGTATATGAGGCAAGATGAGTTCTCCAGGCTTTTGTGCAACAACACATCACTGTAGCAAAAGAAGAGCACTAGTTAAGAAAGGCTGAAGAGCAGCCAGCCCCCTGTGGATTGCTTTTCCCATTAACTGACTGGAAGAATTAAATCCAATTCAATTCAGAAAACTTTCACTTCCCCCCTGTTATATTGTGGTTCCACTCTAGGATCCCTAGGGAAAAATATGCATGAGGTATAGTCCTTGTGTAGCAATGGCTCAGAATCTTACAGGCAATATAAATGAATAAACAAAAGGATTTTAAATAAACACAAAAATGTTGTGGGAATATAAGGATATGGGAGCCTGAGAAGAAGATTTACCTAAAAGTAAGACACACACTTGTGTATCAGCAATACTGTTCTTCACACAATGGGTGTATTTATCTCTAACGATAAGGAACCTGGGAGTAGACAGTACATGGCCACTGTGGAAGCTCAGTTATGCTCTTTTCATGTCTTGGCTCCATGCTCCAGAATGTACAGCTTTCATTCTCACAGTTGCTTGATAGCTTTTCCACCTCCAGGAGTCATGTTTCACTTTTCAGGCAGAAGAAGGTGGAACAGTCCTGAGGGGCTGCATCTAGCCTAGATGCCTTCCAAATAACTTTTCTGGAAGCCCTCAGCCCAAGTAGTTTCCATTTCCTTGACGGTCTGTCAAATAGCCCCCTAAGATCAATCACAAATGGTGGATAAGGAGAAGGGTGTTGTGCATGTTGGCCAGATCATCTGAGTTGGACACAACTCTGTTGGAGAGGAGCAACAAGGGGAAGGCACAGAAAGAAAGACATTAAGACAGGGCATTTGAGGGTGTATTTGAAGAATTACAGGTAAATGAAAAATAGTTCTATAGTTGGTTGAGAAAAAAAGGAGAAAAGGGAGGAAAGTGTTTTCTTTTTTCTTTTTTCTTTTTTTAGAGATGGAGTCTTGCTATGTTGCCCAGGCTGGAGTTCACTGGCTATTCACAGGTGCAATTATAGGGCACGACAGCCTTGAACTCCTGGCCTCAAGTGATCCTCTTGCCTCAGTCTCTGGAGTCTCCAAAACAGGGGAAGGGTGAGTGTGTTTTCTATCACATTGGGAAATAGAAAGATGGAAAGGACTCCATTATTCAGTTCACTAAAGTGTATTTACTGAACTTTTGGAAATTGTGTAGCATTGAGGTAGAGTTTCATGGAGTTTATAGTTGGACTGTAGAAATAATATTTATAAAAAAGAAGCAAAGCAAAAAATAAAGAAAGATACCAGGAAAGATGGAGAAAAAAGAAAGGAAAGGGAGAAAAGAAGAAAGGATGCAGGGGACAAAGGAAGAAAGGGAAAGAAGAAAGACAAAAAGAAGAAATAAAGGAAGAGATAAATAAAATCCAGTGTGATTTCTGCATTGGTGTAGCATGTTGTAACTGCTATTAGAGGGAGCAAACAATGAAAAGGTCAATAAAAACTTAAGGAAAATAATAGAATATCTAATTTAGAAGAGTATTACTGGGGATAGAGATTATAATTATTGCTTACCAGAGCTTTTCTAATATCTCATTTTATTTTAAATTTATCTGCCAAGTTAGACCATAGTCGTTTTTCTCATTTTACAGATGGAAGAAATAAAATACATAATGGAATGGTGGGAAGACTCCGGATCAGGAAACATGAATTTAAGTCTCCATTTATCTAAGTTATTTGCTCAGAAATCCCTGTAAGTTCTTTGCACGTATTTGTTATAAGAAATGATAACAATATGAATGCACAAAGTTCCTGTGACTATAAAATCTGTGTGAAAGTGCTTTGTAATATGTCTATACTGAAGATGTCATTATGGTAAGATATGCTTTACATTGTCTATTGTACTTAATTTACATAATCATCTGAAGAATAGTATTAGTGATGTGGCTTTCTATACATGAATGATACCACCCTAGTATAACCTCTGGAGCTATTCTCAGTATCTCCCTCCTTTGCCCACATCACCTATTCAATTACTATTTTATAAGTCCATTCAATTTCACTACTTAAAGGGCTACAGGATCTATCCCATTATCACCAGCCCTACAGACTCACAATATATTTGCTTGTTACCGAGAGGTCTTGTAATTATTTCCTTAGTAGCTAGTTTGCCTTTACATTCTAATCCATGCTCTCCACACCTCCCAGAAAGACCTTCTAAAATGTAAAACCTGTCATTTTACTGTCCTAAAATCTTATTCAATGATTCCTCACTGCCCCAGACCTGCTTTTCCAAAGACCATTACAGGGAACTCCTGTCCTTAAAAAAGCAGTTCTAGAATGAACAGAGGATGATAGGTTGCAGTATTCTTTATTCTTTACTCCTTTCCAGTTAATAGAATTACCCGATTATTTCCTTTGCACTATGCCTTGCAGGACCACCCACTGCACTGTGGGTCGTACTGGCTTCCTCTCTCACTGATGGTAGCTTAGCCATGGGACTTGCTTTGGCCAGTGATCTTGGGCAGGTGCTACAGTGTGCCAGTTGCTCCCATTGCATACCTCTACTCATTTTCATGTGCTCTCACCATTAGTCCTAAGGCATTAGAACATTTTCCAGGTAACCACCAAACCAAGGTGGATAAGAGACACATGGAGAGATGGGCAGCCTGGAGCCTTGTGCTTGCTGTGTGGAGCCCAGAGCCTGAGTTGCATCAGACCAAATGACTCATGAGCAAGAAAAAAAAGGTGCTTGTGTTCAGCTACCGAGTTCAGGGTTAATTTTTTATGCAGCACTGTTGCAGCAAGAGGTGTCTAATGTGCCTAGTGTGAGAAATCGTGTCCTCAGATTAAGCTCAAGATAAATAAAATGACAATCTCCCTGATAGTATTACTAAGCTAATAGAAAATAAGACAGACTATAGAACTAAATAGGCTGACTCTGAAAAGTGCGGTGAGAGAGTTATAGAAACATCACTATGGGAGATGAGAGGAAAGGACACTTACTTCACATTGAGGAATCAGTGAGATCTTAAGTGAAAGCACATTAGACCCAGGTCTTGAAGGATAAATAGAATTTGCTTTTGCTGAGTTGGGGAGAAGAAAGAACTGGAGCCACGGCAGGCAAAAGGAGCACAGGAATAGCAAATACTGAGTGACTTAGGTTGGAGGCCAGAAAGCATCATGCTTAATGCTCTTATCATTATCATTATATAAATTATAATTGTTAACATTTTTGAACACTCATTAATCAAACACGTTGTTTTGTATAAAGAGAGATATTCATTTAATACACACAACAATACTACATATGAAGTGGTATCATTATTATCCTCATTTTAAGCATGAGGAAATTGAGGTTTATTTGGGTTAACTTGCCTATGCTAAATTAGTGTCAACTTAGGATCTGAAGTTGAATTTATCTGGATGCAGGCAAATACTGGCAGGAAAATTTGGAAATGAAGATAGAGCTATTTTTTCAAAGGTGTTTTGTGGTTTGCTAGGAAGTCTGTCCCACATTATGCATAGAATAGGAAGTGACCAAAGGTCTTTGGGCAATGAGGTAATAACATGACCATTTCTTGCAGCAATGTGCAAGCTGGACTAAAGTGGGAAGAAAAATCATGGAGTATCCATTTAGGAGTATATTCCAACAATCAAGATGAGAAGCAGCGAGAGCCTGGATGTAAGTAGTAGTAAGCAGAAAATGAGTGAAGGCTATATATACAAGATGCCGGATTGGGATGGTGGTTACTACTGCCAGAACACAGGATGAGAAATTTATGTTATTAAATATTCATGATATAATTAAGAATAAACTATGTAACCCTGAAAAACTACTTGTAACAGTAAGCCACCCTCAACTTAATTAAAAGTCATTAAAGAATTAAAAATAAGATTTAAAGGAAAGTGGGACACATTAATTTCTTAGGATTACTGGTGTTCATTGGGCCTTTAAATCGTTTATTCAAGAAATACTGTAATGACTCACCAACATTTTGGATATATAGCCATATTATTTGTTTCTCAAAGTCCCTAAAACTCTACCTGGCACAGAGAAGGTAATCAATAAATCTTTTAAAAATAAATAAATAACTTAAAGTAAAATAATAAATAAGAATATTTTATAGTATGTAACCTAAATCAGTCATTATAATTAGAAATCTTTTACTTTCTTTTTTTTCTAAATTTACTTATAACTTTATTGTTAGAAATGTGTTGTGCTTTATCCTGCAGAAACATGCCATAAATTATGGTTTGGAATTCAGCCCACACAATCTTGTTAATCATCTGTCATTATGTGGAAAACAATGCTATTACAGCATATATAATCCAATCCAAATATAACTTAAATGAAACAAAAGCAAAACATTTGATCTCTATACTTGTAGAAAAAATAAAGAAGAATGAGGAGGAAAGTGTAAAGTTTTTAAGGAGATTTCTAAGTTCATTTCATGTTATTTCCAACAATTCCAAACGTGAAGCCCCTCTTCTTGTTTCATGTCTAATTTCAATAGGAAATAGAAGGATTTTTTTTTAACATAGGTGTTGCACTAGTGCTAACTAGCCTTATGTTGATCATAGTTGTTTTTTGTTTGTTTACGGTATGTTAAGAAATTAAATTAAAAGAACAAAGAAGGTAAAAACGGAAATAAATTTTTGTCATCACATGGAGGAAAACAAATATAAAATACAGAGAAAGAAAGAAGGAGTAAAACAATTCAAGGGAGAATTTTCTAGAGGTATTTTAAACAGAACTGTGTGAAATACAAGTCCCCAAAGAATGAGATGAAGTTAAATAGTAAGGAAGCAATAGTTCAGATAATCACCCACAAGGGCCACTACCCCACTAGCCAAGAACAGCCAGGTATTATGGAGCAGGATTCAGTGGGCGATCCAACACTATAATTTATGAAAATATTACAAGTTAGATATTTTTAAGAATAAATGCCTTGCAATGATTTGCCTGCTTGTTTATATATGTTACTATTCTAGACTTTTAGCTAGCTTCTCAAGAAGGATTTTACTGTGTTATAGTAATATTTAAATCATCATCACCTACTCCAATGCAAAGTAGCACAGGACTTTGCTCCAAAGAACAAAGAAGTCAAGTCTTTGTTTCTATTGCTCTCCATGGGGTGTATTTAATAGGGAAGGAATAATAGAAACTTCTAGTTAAGTTAAGAGGGGGAGATCACCTTATATCAACATGATGTACCCTGGAAAAAATTTTTTTTAAAGGAAGCTATTCTGCATTCTGAGCATCGAAGGCAATTTTGCATCAGAGACATCCTGAATGCCCTTAGTGAAAAAGGACACAGGAGGTAACACTAGTTAAAAAACCATAGTAACTTTCTTGATCTCCACACTGGTAGAAGCCAAGGGCATGGGTAGTAATCGTGTGCTGCAGGGCTAGCAAGACTCAACACAAGGATGAGCCACGGGGCACCAGCGCACCTCTACCGTGGTCAAGTGTTTCAGAGCATGAACTCTGAAGCAAAAATGCCTCCTAACTTCTAATTCCTGCTGTGTCCCTTACTAACTTTGTCACCACAGAAAATTTCATGAGCTGCTTATAAGTTATCTGTCCCTGTCTATAAATTGGGATAGTAATAGCCACTTTATAGTAGTACTTACCTTGTAATATTGTTGTGTAGGTCAAACAAATTCATTCACATACTTCACTAATAATCATGCTTGGATAGAGTAAACATTAATAAATATAAGCTTTTAAAAATTATTATTATAATTTACTAAGTACCTATTTGTAAAAGATGGTTCAGAAATCTTTTAGTCATGTCACTGATATAAATGGCTTGTTATATTAAATAGTCATGTACTGCATAACGATGTTTCAGTCAACAAGAGTCAGCATATACAACAATGGTCCCGTAAGATTATACCAATTGTATTTTTTTACTGTACCTTTTCTGTGTTTAGTTATGTTTAGATACACAAATACCATTGTGTTACATTTGCCTATAGTATTCAGTACAGTAACATGCTGTACAGGCTTGTAGCCTAGGAGCAGTAGGCTTATGCCATATAGCCTAGGTGTGTAGTAGGCTATTTCATTTGGGTTTGTCTAAGGACACCCTATGATGTTCGCACAATGGCAAAATCACCTAGGGATGCATTTCTCAGAACATATCCCTGATGTTAAGTGACACATGACTATATATTTGTAACATTTTAAGTATTTTTATTTCATAAATGATCTAATGCTACATCCACTCATACAAATATTTTTACTCTTCAAAATGAAATAGTTTATGAATACTTAGTTTCAAAACCTCAACATATTCCATATTCCAAATAAATTGGCAAAAGCATGATAGAAGAAAATGATTCAATTATGTGATTATAACATAAAAATGTGAGCAGCGTGTTTCTGTTTATACCTTATGTTCACAAACTCAAGGTAACACTTGCAGCAAAGGAGACCTAGAAGGTCAGTTCTGTGCAGAATAGAACAATATCTACAAATGTTCACAATATTTCTTAAAGAGGGAAAACATTCAAGGGAATGTGACATGTTGGTCATAGGAATTCACCCAATGGGAAATGTGTATATAATAAGAATGGCTTTTCATATTCCTTATGATGGAAAGCTGATGTTACTCACCCACCATGCTTTTCTAATAGCACTAGTTGATTTGAGCTGAGATTGCCACACTCTTTTACTTAATTCTACAAATGCTTGCATTTATGAAAATTTCCAAGAATGAAGCCTGAATTTATGGAAAACTTGCAGAATGAAGCTTACTAACCTATGTGTGTATTTAAAATAGCAATTTTCATCTCATTAGCATAAAGGCTAACCAATTGAATATATCACTCAGAAAATATTATAGACATATCCATCTTTTAACATGTCAGCATTCAATTGGGAGATTATGTTATTGATGTATGTTTCAGGGTTTCCCCTCCCTGCCTTCTATACATGTTAGAGGCTCCTGTGCAGAAACCTGCCCTTTTAGAGATAAAAATGCCTCTTTGTAAGTGAACAGATGGTGTTGCTCAAGTTCAGAGACACATCTAGGCAGAATCTCAGGGGGAGGAGGGACTGCAGGGAGAGGAGGACTGGTGTAGTTTGAAAAGGCTTCCTGGGTGATTCTGATAGTCTCCCACCTCGCCCCCACTGTGAAGCTCTGCTTTAGAGCTTATAAATACATGAATGTCATGGAGATGTTGATTTGAGCTGCAAAGTAAAAAATGAATGCTTTTCCTGGTAGCAACTTGTCTGATTGCTCTTCTTTGCATTTTATGTCATAATTTTCAAAACCTGAGCATCTTAATAATATCTTTAAATTGGCCCATTTAAAAACTTCGGAATAGTTCAAATCCTACATTATTTCCATTTGTATGGGTGACACTGAATTGCAGGTCCCACAATGTCATTCAAAGATAATTTTTATTTTGGTTGTATTTTCATGTATTAGGCCACAAAATAAATGAATCGTACATATGTGACATAACTAAAGCAACACACAAATATTATTAGTAAAACCATTGAATTTAGGTTTGAGATTGAAAATAATTATAGTCAAAATTATGTTTGAACTCCTTTAAACCAACCATGAAAAATAGTATATGTACTATGTGTTTATAAACTTTCCTATCCACTTGTTAAACTAAAGAAATAGGGGAAAGTCTATATGCAGATGTCTGAGCATTCACACAATTATATATTTCAGGTAGTTTCATTTTGATTTAACTTTTATTTTAAGTTCGAGGGTATGTACGCAGGTTTGTTATGTAGGTAAGCTTGTATCATGGGTGGTTGTTGTACAGATTATTTCATCACTCAGGTATTAAGAAGCCCATCAATAGTACACTGAATAAAGAAAATGTGGTACATATACACCATGGAATACTATGCAGCCATAAAAACAACTAGATTTATGCCCTTTGTGGGTACACGGATGGGGCTGGAGGCCATTATCCTTAGCAAATTAATGCAGGAACAGAAAACCAAATATTACATGTTCTCACTTATAAGCAGGAGCTAAATGCTGAGAATTTCAGGTAGTTTTTTAATGCCAAACAAGTAAGGGATGCCAGAGAGAAGTTCCAGACAGTTAACTGGGTTTCCCGGAGCATAAACAACCTTTGTCACACCCAAAGGGTGTTTCTTGTGTTCCTCTGAAGGTACTGAAGGTTCCTATTCTTGAGAGGTTGGGAGTATAATGTCATTTCCTTTGTTTTGATAGTGTTGTAAATAGATGAATTTGGACTATATAAAGAGAAGAAGTTGTCAGAATTGGATTAATTTTCCATACACTACAGAAAAGATTGTGTTTTAAGTTTTGCTTTGATAAGTAGATGCAGAAGCCTTTCTAGCCCAGCTGTGAGTTTCCTGGAAGGGAATTTATAGAGTCGTCCCTGGGTATTCACGGGAATTAGTTCTAGGACCCCTGAGAATACCAAAATCCACAGATGCTCAAGTCCCTGATGTAAAATGGCATAGTATTTGCATATAACCTATGCACATCCTTCCGTACACCTTAAATCATCTCTACTTATAATACCTAATACAATGTGAATGCTCTGTAAATAGTTGTTATACTGTACTGTTTTTAATTTGTATTTTTTGTTATGCTGCTTTTTTTTTTCAAATATTTTCCATCTGTGGTTGGTTGAATCTGTGGATGCAGAACTTGTGGATACATAAGGCTGACTTAACAGAAGAGAGGAACGGACTGAGGCAAATGAGGGTCATGCTGGAAGCCATGTGAGTCCTGGGGGTGGAAAAGCTAGCTTATCCCTGAATGCATGCCTGGCTACCAGATCAAATGCCACTTGGCTAACAGTAGCCTCTGCATTTTATGTTTTCCTTGTGAGGCAACCTGCCCAGATTTTCAAGATTAGTAATTGCTATGTGGGAGATGTGGAGTGTGTGTGTGTATGTGTGTGAACCAGTTCTTTCTTCTGGGGTTCAGACCAGTACTTGTCTGTCATTAGTTTTCCAGCATTTCCAAGTGATACTAACGTACGTGACACACACACACACCCTTACTCACACACACACACACACCCCTACACAGAGTATACACTTAAAATTTTACCCTCCTTGCAACTTATAATTCCCAATCCTCTTCTAACCTTTTAACCTCTTACTCTGTATCCTTCTACCGCCCATTCTTCCCACGACTTCAGCCTTTTCTACATTTGCCCTTTTTCTCTCCACCTATGTTCTGTAAAGAACCAAAGCATGATCAATTTTTCAATCATAATTAAGATGAGACCCAAGGGAACACAATTTTATAGATAAGGAAACTGAGGCCCCAAAAGCCAAATTTACTTGTCCAAAGAAAGATAGAGACAGATTCAACACCAGATGATGATCTCTTCTGATTTCTGCTCATATTGGAAAAACTCTGGAATAGAATATATGTGATATCAGTTTCACTTCTGATCTTTACTAGCTGTATGATTTTCTGCAAGTTACTTAAACCAACTAAATAAACTTTGGTTTACCTATCTTTAAATAGGGAATGATAAAATTGGAATAAATAGAGTTGTTTTGAAGTATCACCCTACAAATGGATATAAAATGACCTAATATCATTCATGGTATATAGTAAGTGCAAAATAGGATTTTCCTACCAAGTCCAATTTTTTTCTTTTATGCCACCTCACCTTGCAATCTTCCCTTTAGTTTAATCTTTTCTCTCGTGCAAAATTACTTCTGTTTTTTTCTAATTTTACTATATATATTTACCATTCATGTTCATACTCAGGCTTCAGTGGCTGAAGAAATCTTTTCCAAACCTGTTAATAACATTTTGAGTGATAGAGCAGTTTCCTGTCTGCCCTGGTTTGTCTGAAGGTTAGCATATGGTGGGTCATACACCTACAGGCCTTGCAGAATTCTGCATGTCTGAATGCTGAACTAACCCAGAGCTGCAGTGGCTTCCTCTCCTGCAAGCAGTGGGAGTCTCTGAACTCCCTGCAAGACTTGAGCTTTCCCTGCACCACATCAGAGCAGCTCTGCCTTTCTCTGGCCATTGGCACAAAACACAAAGTTTAGGAGGTGGCCAGTGAATATTTATAAAATGATTAAAGGAATAAATGATTGCATAAACATATAAGTCCTTGCTTCCCTTTTTGAACAGAGCAGAGAGCAAGCATTTCTGTGTTGGAATCAGTGTTGTATTTCTCGCCATCCACTTGCTGGGCCTGTCTGTGTAGGCCTTTGAAACAGTAGGCTCTCCTGGTGAGCATCGTAAAGCCAGCTCCTTTCTGATTCTGTTTACCTCACAGAAGGGTCAATATATCAAGTTTAATCAGTCCTCTACAGGGGCACTCTCATTGAAAGGCATAGGGCAAAATGTTTTGAGGACATTTCTGAACACCTACTCCATCCTAAACTTTCTATTCCCCACTGCAGCCCCCGTGTATTGTTAGGGTTCACTTCCTCTTGAAGGTTTTTCTTTGTAAGGCTATCCGTACCCTCTCCCATTCTTACTCAAGTGTGGACAGCAGCCTGTTTCCCTCAAAACAGTTGAGATAATACATTTTCAAAAGTGGCCGTATTATATTAGAAAGAGGTACAAAACAGAATACAAAGAGGATATAAATAGTCATGTTTCAAAATTATAGAATTTCACCCCTTCTGGGGTAGATTTGCTGCTTTGACTTTGTAGATACCTCATTTGGCTTCATGCCCGCCTGGGTCTCTGATGGTCTCCTTTGATGTCATATTTTCTCCCGGCATGCATGGGGGGCACACAGGGCATCTCTTTCCCTTCAAAGTCAGTTGCAGAAAAGTGCATCCAACTTCTTACTCTATAAATCTCTACAAACCTCCAGTTGCAAAACTATGCCTTCCATAGTCAATGGCCAGAACGTGGGGATGGAAGCCATGTATGATCTCATTTACCTTCTTTGGATTATCTGTTTATCCCAGCCCTAGATAATTTCCTTCTTTTTTTTAACGTTTATCCACGTTTATTATTTTTCCTTCTATTTTTAGTTAACATATGATAATTGTGCATATGTATGGGATACAGTGATCTTTTAATACATGTATACAATAGGTAATGATCAAATTAGGATAATTAGCATATCCATCATCTCAAACATTTACCATTTCCTTGTGTTGTAAACTTTTACAATTCTCCCTTCTAGCTTTTTGAAAATATACACTAAATTATTGTTAACCATAGTCACCCTTCAGTGCTGCAGAACACTAGTATTCTTCCAGTCTAGCTGTAACTTTATTAACATCTCCCTAAACTTTCCTCCCCGCAACCCTTCCCAGCCTCTAATAACCACAATTCCACTCTCGACCTCTATAAGAAAAATTTTTATAAACTCCCTGATATAATTTGGATGTTTGTCTCTGACCAAATCTCATGTTGAATTGTAATCCCCCATGTTGGAGGTGAGGCCTGGTGGGAGGTGTTTGGGTCATGGCTTGATGCTGTCCTTGCAATAATGAGTGAGTTCTCACCAGATCTGGTTGTTGTAAATTGTTACACCTCCCCACAACCACCCAGTCTTGTTCTTGCTTTTGTCACGTGATATGCCTGCTCCCCCTTCACCTTCCACCATGATTGTAAGCTTCCTGAGCCCCCTATCAGAAGCCAACCAAATGTTGGTGCCATGCTTGTACAGCCTGCAGAACCATGAACCAGTTACACCTCTTCCTTATAAGTTACCCAGTCTCAGGTATTTCTTTACAGCAATGCAAGAATGCCCTAACACACTCCTACACATAAGGGAGAATAATTTGCCTTTTTTCTACCTGACTTAACATAATGTCCTCCAGGTAATTAATGTCACCCCAAATGATAGGATTTCATTTTTCATAGCTGAATAGTATTCCATTGTGCATATATTCATTTTCTTTGTCCATTCGCCTGCAATGGACATTTAGGTTGAGGCCATGTCTTGGTTAAACTAAAACTAAGAACTAAAAATAGAACTAAAAATTGAACTTTATTCAATAAAGCTACAATAAACATGGAAGTCCTGGTATCTCTTTGGTATTCCTATTTTTCATCCCTTAGATAAATACTCAGTATTGGGATTGCTGAATTGTACAATAGTTCTATTTTTAGTTTTTTTGAGAAACCTGCATACTGTTTTTCAAAATGGCTATACTAACTTACATTCCCATCAACAGTGTATGAGAGTTCCCTTTCCATGGCATCCTTACCAGCATTTGTTATTTTTTGTGTTTTTGATGATAGATATGCTAACTGAGATGAGATGATATCTCACTGTGGTTTTGATTTGTATTTCTCTTATGATTAATGATGTTAAGCATTTTTTTCATATACTTGATCATTTATGTCTTCTTTTGAAAAATGTCTGTTTAGAATCTTTGCCTATTTTTCAATTGGATTAATTTTTGCTGCTGAGTGGTTTGAGTTCCTTGTGTATTCACAAGGAACTTGTTGCTTGTTTGATAATGAATTTGCAATATTTTATTTCTTTTTACATGTTCTCTCTTCACTCTTGATTGTTTCTTTTTCTGTGCAGGAGCTTTTTAGTTTTATATGTTCCTATTTCTCTATGTTTGCTTTGTTGCCTGTGTTTTAGGGTCATATAAAAATCATTTCTTAAACCAATGTCATGAAGTTAAAGCATAAGTTGCTATTAGTTTTCTTTTACATGTTTGTTTGTTTATGCAATAAGCGTAAAGTCATCATCAATTTAAAGTAATGGGCAACAAGATAGTATTTGCAAGCCTCATAGTAACCTCAAATTACAATACAAGGGATATGCAAAAAATAAAAAGCAAGAAATTAAATCATAGCACCAAGTAAATCGCTTTCACTAAGAGGAAGACAGGAAGGAAGAAAAGAGAAGACCCCGAAACAACCAGAAAACTAATAACAAAATGGTAGGAGTAAGTTCCTACTTATTGATAATACATGTTTTGGGCACCTTTGTTGACGAGTTTGCTGTTGGTATGCAGATTTGCTTCTCGATTCTCTATTCTGTTTCATTGGTCTATGTGTCTGTTTTTATGACAGTATCATGCTGTTTTGTTTTCTAGAGCTCTGTAGTATAACTTGAAGTCAGGCAATGTGATTCCACCAGTATTGTTCTTTTTGCTCAATATACCTTTGGCTCTTCTGGGTCTTTTTTGATTTCATATAAATTTTAGAATTTTTTTCTGTTTCTTGAAGAATATTATGGTATTTTGATAGGGATTGCATTGAATCTGTAGATTGCTTTGAGTAGCATGGACATTTTAACGATATTGATTGTTCCAATCAACAGACTTGGAATACATTTCCTTTTTTTGTGTGTCCTGTTCAATTTCTTGCATGAGTGTTTTATAATTTTTATGTAGAGATCTTTCACTTCTTTGGTGAAATTAATTCCTAGGTATTTAGTTTTATTTATGGCTATTGTAAGTGGGATTCCTTTTCTGATTTCTTTTTTAGATTGTTCGCTGCTGGCATATAGAAATGCTACTGATTTTTGTATGTTGATCTTGTATACTGCAGTTCTAGTAGTTTTTTGTGGAGTCTTTAGATTTTTTTCAAATGTAAGATTATATCATACACACACAATGAAAATTTGACTTCTTCCTTTCCAATGTGGATGCACTTTATTTTTTTTCCTCTTGTCTGACTGCTTTAGCTAGGACTTCCAGTACTACGCTGAATAAGCCTGGTGAAAGTTGGCATCTTGTCATGTTCCAGATCTTAGAGGAAAGGCTTATAGTTTTTCCCCCATTCGGTGAGTCTGTCACACGTGGCTTTTATTATGCTGCGGTATGTTCCTTTTATTCCCAGTTTTTTTTATTGTTTTTATTATGAAGGGATGTTGAATTTTATTAAATGCTTTTTCAGCATCAGTTGAAATAATCACATGATTTCTGTGCTTCATTCTGTTGATATATCAAATTGATTGATTTGTGAATGCTGAACCATCCTTGCATACCTAGAGTAAATCTCACTTGCCCATGATCAGTTATCCTTTTGAATTTGGTTTGGTAGTATTTGGTTGAGGATTTTGCATCAATATTCATCAGAGATGCTAGCCTATAGGTTTCTTTTTTTGATGTGCTTTTGTCTGGTTTTGGTATCAGAATAATACTGGCCTTGTAGAATGAGTTTGGAAGTATTCCCTCCTCATCTATTTTTCAGAATAGTTTGAGTAGAAGAGTAGAATTGGTATTAGTTCTTTAAATATATTGGGTTTCAGGCTTTTTGTTTTTACTGGGAGACTTTTCACTCATTACTTGTTTATGGTCTGTTTAGGTTTTGGATTTCTTCATGGTTCAATCTTGGTAAGTGTGTATGTCTAGGAATTTATGCACTTCCTCTAGATTTTCCAATTCATTGGCATATAGTTGCTTACAGTAGCCACTAATAATCCTTTGAATTTCTGTGATATCAGTTGTAATGTCTCTTTTTCATCTCTGGATGTATTTATTTGGGTCTTCTCCCTTTTTGTCTTTGTTAATCCAGCTAAAAGTTTGTCAATTTTATCTGTCCAAAAAAAAAAAAACAATTTTTTTGTTTTATTGATCTTTTGTATTGTTTTCTTCATTTCAAATTCATGTATTTCTACTATGATCTTTATTATTTCTTTTCTACTACCAATTTTGGGTTCAGTTTGCTCTTGTTTTTCTAGTTGTTTAAGATACATTGTTAGGTTACGTATTTGAAATTTTTCTTCTTTATCAATGTGCACACTTATAACTATAAACTTCTCTCTTACTACTGCTTTTGCTGTATCCCATAAGTTTTATTATGTTGTGTTTTCATTATCAATTGTTTTGAGAAATTTTAAAATTTCCTTCTTGATTTCTTCATTGACCTGCTGGTCATTTAGGAGCATATTGTTTAATTTCCACTTGTTTGTATCATTTCCAAAATTCCTCGTTTAATTTCTAGTTTTATTCCATTGTGGTCAGAGAAGATGTTTGATTTTATCTGTTTTTTTTTTTAATGTTTTAAGACTTGTTTTGTGACCGAAGATATTGTCTGTCCTTGACACTGACCATGTGCTGTGAAGAATGTGTATTCTTCAGCCTTTGGATGAAATATTGTGTGAATATTTATTAGGTCCATTTCTTCTGTAATGCAGATTAAGTCCAATGTTTGCTGAGATTCTGTCCAGGAGGTCTGTCCAATGCTGAAAGTGGGCTTTTGAAGCCTCCAGCTATTATTGTATGGAAGTCTATCCTGTTCTTTAGGTCTAATAATATTTGCTTTATGTATCTATGTGCTCGAGTGTTGGGTGCATATATGTTTAAAATCAATATATCCTGGTGCTGAATTGACTCCTTTTTCATTAGATAATGACTTTCTTTGTCTTATGGTTTTTGTCTTTAAATCTACTTTTGTCTGTTGTAAGTATAACTACCACTGCTCATTTTTGGTTTCCATTGACATGGAATATCTTTTTCCACCCCTTTATTTTCAGTGTTTATAAGTGAAGTGTGTTTCTTGCTGGGACCAGATCAATGGGTCTTGTTTTTTCATCCATTCAGCCACTCTATATCTTTTGATTGGAGAGTTTAGTCCGTTTATAATCAATGCTATTATTGATAAGCAGGGACTTACTCCTGCTATTTTGTCACTTGTTTTGTGGTTGTTCTGTGGCCTTTTCTTTCTTTCTTTCCCATCTTCCTATTAGTGAAGGTGATTTTATCTGGTGGTATGATTTAATTTCTTGCTTTTTATTTGCTGGTGTATCCATTGTATGTTTTTCAATTTGATGTTACTGTGAGGCTTGCTAATACTATCTTATAACCCATTATTTTAAATTGATAATGACTTTACACTTATTGCATAAACAAACAAACATCCAAACAGAAAACTAGTAGCAACTCTACACTTTAATTTCATACCCCACTTTTTAACTTTTTGTTGTTTTTCTTTATGTCTTATTATACTATATCTTGAAAAGCTGTTGTAGCTATAATAATAATGATACTAATTATCATTATTATTATTTTGACACAAGGTCTCTCTCTCATCACTCAAACTGAAGTTCACTGGCACAATCACAGCTCACTGCAGTCTCAACTTCTTGGGCTCAAGTGATTCTTCCATTTCAGCCACTCAAGTAGCTGGGACTACAGGCACACACCACCACACCCAGCTAAATGTATTTTCAGTAGAGACAGGGATTTGCCATATTGCCCAGGCTTTTCTTTAACTCCTGGGCTCAGGGGATTCTCTCATCTCAGCCTCTCAAGTAGCGGGGACTACGGGCACAAGCCACGACACCCAGCTAACTTACTGTATTTTTAGTAGAGACAGGGTTTTGCTGTCTTGTCCAGGCTGTTCTTTAACTCCTGGACTCAAGCAATCCACCCACCTCAGCCTCCCAAAGTGCTAGGATTACAGGTGTGAGTCACTGCACCCAGCCTAGTTATTATTTTTGATTGGCTCATCATTTAGTCTTTCTGATTAATATAGGAGTAGTTTATACACCACAATTACAGTGTTATAATATTCTGTGTTTTTATAGGTGTTTTTCTGTATTCTGTTTTTCCGTGTGCTCACTATTAACAGTGAGTTTTGTTCCTTTAGGTGATTTCTTCTTGCTCATTAACATACTTTCTTTCAGATTGAAGAACTCCCTTTAGCATTTCTTGTAGGACAGGTCTGGTGTTGATGAAATCCCTCAACTTTTGTTTGTCTTGGAAAGTCTTTATTTCTCCTTCACACTTGAAAGATATTTTCACTTCATATGCTATTCTAGGATAAAAGTTTTTCCTTCAGCATTTAAAATATTTTAGGCCACTTTCTCCCAGCCTGTAAGGTTTGAACTCAGAAGTCTGCTGCCAGATGTGTTGGAGCTCTTTTGTATGTTATCTGTTTTCTGCTCTCGATGCTTTTAGAATCCTTTCTTTATCCTTGACTTTGGGAGTTTGATTATTAAATGTCTTGCGATAGTCTTCTTTCAGTTAAATCTGCTTGGTGTTTTATAACCGTCTTGTACTTGTATCTTGATATCTTTCTCTAGATTTGGGAAGTTCTCTGATATTACATCTTTCAATAAACTTTCTCCCCTATCTCTTTCTCTGTCTCCTGTTTAAAGCCAATAGCTCTTCGATTTGCCCTTTTGAGGCTATTTTCTATATCTTATTGGTGTGCTTTATTGTTTTTATTCTTTTTTCTTCTTTATCTTCTGAATAGCCTGTCTTCAAGCTCACTAATTCTTTCCTCTGCTGAATCAATTCTGCTATTAAGTTTCTCTGATGCATTTTTCAGTATGTCAATTGCATTTTTCAACTCTTGAATTTCTGCTTGATTCTTTTCAATTATTTCAATCCCTTTGTTAAGTTTATCTGCTAAAATACTGAATACTTTCTCTGTCTTAGCTTGAATTTCTTTGAGTTTCCTTAAAACAGGTATTTTGAATTATCTGTCCGAAAGGGCATATGTCTCTGTTTTTCTAGGATTGGTCCCTGGTACTTTATTTAGTTCATTTGGTGAGGTTATGTTTTCCTGGATGATTGTGATGATTGTAGACATTTGTCGGTGTTTGGGAATTGAATAATTATGTTTAAATTGTAGTCTTCATAGTCTGAGCTTGTGTTTTCCCCCCATTCTTGAGAAGGCCTTCCAGGTATTCAAAGGGACTTGGGCCCCCAGCCCAGTAGTGCTATGGTTTTTGCAGACTTGTAGAGGAACTGCCTTGGTGGTTTTGAATAAGATCCAGAAAAGTTGTCTGGATTACCAAACAGAGAACTTTTCCCTTACTTTTTTCCCTTTTCCCTTACTTTCTACCAAACAAAAAAGGTCTGTTTGTGCTGAGCCACCTGGAACAGGGGGTGTGGTGATACAACCACCCCTGCGGTGACCAACACTGGGACTGTGTTGGGTGACACCTGAAGCCAGCATAGCACTGAGTCTTGCCCAAGGTCCACTGTAACCACTACCTTGCTACCACCTATGTTCTCTCAAGGCCCTAGGGCTCTAAAATCAGCAGGTGGCAAAGCCAGTCATGTTGTGTCCTACTCTTCAGGGTGCCAGGCTCCACCTGGCCCTAGGCAGGTCCAGCAATGCTGTCTGTGAGCCAGGGTTTGGAGTCAAAAGCATTAGAATTTTGCCTGATGTTCTATTCTACTGTGGCTAAGCTGGCACTCAGACCACAATATAAAATCCTTCCTGTTTTCTCTCCTCTTTTTCAAGGCAGGGGAGCCTCTTCCTATAGGCACCACCTCCACTGGCCCACATGGGGGTTCCACCAGGCCACCATCAGTGTTCACTTAAAGCCCAAGGGCTCTTCAGTCAGGCTCTTACAGTAAATTCTGCCAGGCTTGGAACTCACCTTCAGGGCAGTGGGCTCTCCTCTGGCCCAGCGCTGGTCCAGAAATGCTGTTCAAGAGCTAAGTCCTGGAATTGGAGACCCCAAGAGCCTGATTGTTGCTCTACCCCAGTGTGGCTGAGCTGGTACCTAAGGTAAAAGACAATGTCCTCTTTACGTTTCTCTCTGCTTTTATGAAACAGAAGGAGTCTTCCACCATAGCCACCACAGCTGGAAATATTCTGAGTGACACCTGTAGTCAACACGACTCAGAGCCCAAGACCCACGGTATACAACCTGAATATCACTCCTGTTATTCAGGGCCCCAGGGCTCTTGAGTCAGCAGATAATGAATCCTGCAAGGACTGGGTCCTTCTTTTCAAGAAAGCAGGTTTCCTTTTGGTTGCAGGGTGCTAGGGACTGGATTGGGGACCTCAGGACTCTGCATGGTGCCCTTTCCTACTGTGGCTGAGCTGGTATCCAAGATGCAAAAGAAAGTCCTCTTTATTCTTCACTCTCCTGCCGTTCAGCAGAAGGAAGGAGACAATGTCATTGCTGTGAGCTACACTGACCGGGGTTGGGGGAGGAGTGGTGAAAGCACTTCCTTAGCAACCCTAGCTCATGTTTCCCTAGGTCACATGCCATTCTAGTTCCCTGGCTCTGAGCCAGCCCAGTAGTTGCCAAGGAATTGCAGTTCTTGTGTCCTTGGTTATCTTTCAAGTTTACCTAGGTTTTGGCCCATGGTGGTGCGGCTTGCTGAGAAACTCAAGTTCTGGCTAATTGGATGCTGATTCCCCTCTGGCTAGGTCTGGTCCAAATGCTCCCTCCATGAGCGGGCACTGGCTGAGCCCAGCATGTCTTTGCTCTCAGCTATAACAGGGAAGCACTGAGTTCAATGTAAAGTCCTCCAGTCACTGCACTTTCCTTTCCCCAAGTGTACAGGTTCTCTGTGCTACATGGCCGTTGCTGGGGGTGGAGGGATGGTGTCTCTGATTCAAGACTGTCTCTCTGACCCTCTTCAATGCCTCTTTCAATGACATGAATTTAAAACTAGGTACTGGGATTGCTTACCTGATTTTTGGTTCTTGTGATGGTGCTTTCCTGTGTGCAGATAGTTGTCAATATTTGGTGTTTTTGCAGGGGCTATAAATGATGTGGTCTTCTGTTCTGCCATATCACTCCACCCTGCTTTCTTGATTTCTTTTTCAGGTAATTCATTATTGATGCATAGAAATGCTACTGATTTTTATATGGTGATTTTGTATCCTGAAACTTTACTGAATTCACGTATCAGTTCTAAGAGTTTTTTGGTGGAGTATCAGGTTTTTCTACATGTGAGATCATGTTATTCGTGAAGAGGCACTATTTGACTTCCTTTATTCCAATTTGGATGCCCTTTATTTCTTCCTCTTGCCTTTGACTAGGGTTTCCAATACTATGTTGAATAAGAGTGGTGAAAGTGGCCTTTTTTTCTCTGCTTCAGTTCTTAGAGGAAAATCTTTCAGCTTTCCCCATTCAGTATGATATTAGCTGTGGGTCTGTCATATATAGCCTTTATTGTATTGAGGTATATTCCTGCTGTACCTAATTTGTTGAGAGTTTTTATCATGAAGAATGCTGAATTTTATCAAATACTTTTTCTGCATCAATTGTGATGATCATATGGCTTTTGTCCTTCATACTGTTGATGTGATTTATCAGGATTTTTTTTTGCATATGTTGAACTATCCTTGTATTCCTGGGATAGGTGCCACATGATCATGATGTGTTATCTTTTTGATATGTTGCTGGATTTGGTTTGATAGTATTTTGTTGAGGATTTTTGCATCATAATCATAAGAATATTGCCTGTAGTTTTAATTTGTGTTGTGTCCTTCTCTGGTTTTGATATCAGGGTAGTGCTGGTCTTATAGAATGAGTTAGGAAGAATTTCTTCCTCTTTAATTTTTTGTAATATTTTGAGAAGAATTTATATTTGTTCTTCTTTGAAAGTTTGGTAGAATACAGGAAGAAAGCCATCTTGTCTTGGACACTTCTTTTTTGGGGGACTTTTTATTACTATTTCAACCTTGTGACCTCTATTGGTCTGTTCAGGTTTTCTACTTCTTGCTTGTTCAATCTTGGTGGTTTATATGGATTCAGAAATTTATCCATTTCCTTTATGATTTCTAATTTGCTTGCATATAGTTGTTCAAAATAGGCTCTAATGATCCTTTGCATGTCTGTGGTATCAGTTGCACTGTCTCCCTTTTTGTTTCTGATTTTATTTGTGTCCTCTCTCTTTTGTTCTTAATCTAGCTTATAATTTGTGGATTTTTGTATCATTTCAGAAAACCAAATTCACTTTTTCTTAATAATCATTTGTATTGTTTTCGTCTCTTTTGCTTTAGTTTTGCTCTGATCTTTATTATTTCTTTCCTTCTACAAATTTGTGGTTTGGTTGGGTCTTGCTTTTCTAGTTCCTTGGGGTGCATTGTCAGATTGCTTACTTGAAATCTTTCTACTTTTTAAAGGTAGGCACTTATTGCTACAAATTTTCCACTTAGATTTTGCTATATCCCATAGATTTTTTTTATTTTGTGTTTCAATTTTCATTTGTTTCAAAAAATTTTTCGATTAATTTTGTCTTAATTTGTTCATTGATTCAATGGTTGTTCAGGTGAATGTTATTTAATTTTGTTTTTTATTATACTTCAAGTTCTAGGGTACGTATGCACAACGTGCAGGTTTGTTACATATGTATACATGTGTCTATGTTGGGTTGCTGCACCCATCAACTCTGTTGGGTTGCTGCACCCATCAACTCTTCATTTACATTAGGTATTTCTCCTAATGCTATCCCTCCCCTAGCCCCCCAGCCCCCACCCCTGACAGGCCCTGGTGTGTGATGATCCCCACCCTGTGTCCAAGTGTTCTCATTGTTCAACTCCCACCTATAAGTGAGAACACGCAGTGTTTGGTTTTCTGTCCTTGTGACAGTTTGCTGAGGATGATGGTTTCCAGCTTCATCCATGTCCCTGCAAATGACATGAACTCATCTTTTTTATGGCTGCATAGTGTTCCATGGTGTATATGCGCCTCATTTTCTTAATCCAATCTATCACTGATGGTCATTTGGGTTTGTTCCAAGTCTTTGCTATTGTGAATAGTGCCGCAATAAACATATGGGTGCATGTGTCTTTATAGTAAAATGATTTATAATCTTTTGGGTATATAACCAGTAATGGGATTGCTGGGTCAAATGGTATTTCTAGTTCTAGATCCCTGAGGAATCACAACACTGTCTTCCACAATGGTTGAACTAATTTACACTCCCACCAACAGTGTAAAAGCCTTCCTATTTCTCCACATCCTCTCCAGCATCTGTTGTTTCCTGACTTTTTAATGATCACCATTCTAACTGCCATGAGATGGTATCGCATTGTGGTTTTGATTTGCATTTCTCTGATGACCAGTGGTGATGAGCATTTTTTCATGTGTCTGTTGGCTGCATAAATGTCTTCTTTTGAGAAGTGTCTGTTCATATCCTTCACCCACTTTCTGATGGGGTTGGTTTTTTTTTTTGTAAATTTGTTTAAGTTCTTCATAGATTCTGGATATTAGCCCTTTGTCAGATGGGTAGATTGCAAAGATTTTCTTCCATTCTGTAGATTACCTGTTTACTCTGATAATAGTGTTTTTTTTTTTTTTGCTGTGCAGAAGCTCTTTAATTAGATCCCATTTGTCTATTCTGGCTTTTGTTGCCATTGCCTTTGGTGATTTAGTCATGAAGCTTTGCCCATGCCTACGTCCTGGATGGTATTGCCTAGGTTTTCTTCTAGGGTTTTTATGGTGTTAGGTCTTACGTTTAAGTCTTTAATCCATCTTGAGTTAATTTTTGTACACGGTGTAAGGAAGTGATCTAGTTTCAGCTTTCTACATTTGGGTAGCCAGTTTTCCCAGCACCATTTATTAAATAGGCAATCCTTTCTCCATTGCTCGTTCTCTGTTTTGGTACCAGTACCATGCTGTTTTGGGTACTGTAGCCTTGTAGTATAGTTTGAAGTCAGGTAGCATGATGCCTCCAGCTTTGTTCTTTTTGCTTAGTGTTGTGTTGGCTATGTGGGTTCTTTTTTGGTTCCATATGAACTTTAAAGTCGTTTTTTCCAATTCTGTGAAGAGAGTCAGTGGTAGCTTGATGGAGATGGCATTGAGTCTATAAATTACCTTGGGCAGTATAGCCATTGTCTCGATATTGATTCTTCCTATCCATGAACATGGAATATTCTTCCTTTTGTTTGTTTCTTCTTTTATTTTGTTGAGCAGTGGTTTGTAGTTCTCCTTGAAGAGGTCCTTCACATCCCTTGTAAGTTGGATTCCTAGGTATTTTATTCTCGTTTTAGTAATTGTGAATGGGAGTTCACTCATGATTTGGCTCTCTGCTTTTCTATTATTGGTGTATAGGAATGCTTGTGATTTTTGCACATTGATTTTGTATCCTGAGACTTTGCTGAATTTGCTTAGAAGCTTAAGGAGATTTTGGGCTGGGACAGTGGGGTTTTCTAAATATACAATCATGTCATCTGCAAACAGGGACAATTTGACTTCCTCTTTTCCTAATTGAATACTCTTTATTTCTTTCTCTTGCCTGATTGCCCTAGCCAGAACTTCCAACACTATGTTGAATAGGAGTGGTGAGAGAGGGCATCCTTGTGTTGTGCTGGTTTTAAAAGGGAATGCTTCCAGTTTTTGCCCATTCAGAAATGGTATTGGCTGCAGGTTGTTCATAAATAGCTCTTATTATTTTGAGACACATTCCATCAATACCTAGTTTATTGAGAGTTTTTAGCATGAAGGGATGTTGAATTTTATTGAAGGCCTTTTCTGCATTTATTCAGATAATTATGTGGTTTTTGTCTTTGGTTCTGTTTATGTGATGGATTATGTTTATTGATTTGTCTATGTTGAACCAGCCTTGCATCCCAGGGATGAAGCCGACTTGATCATGATGGATAAGCTTTTTGATGTGCTGCTGGATTCAGTTTGCCAGTGTTTTATTGGGGATTTTCTTATCAATGTTCATCAGGGATATCAGCCTAAAATTCTCTTTTTTTGTTGTTGTGTCTCTACTAGGCTTTGGTATCAGGATGATGCTAGCCTCATAAAATTAGGCTAGGGAGGATTCCCTCTTTTTCTATTGATTGAAATAGTTTCAGAAGGAATGGTACCAGCTCCTCTTTGTAGCTCTGGTGGAATTAGCCTGTGAATCCATCTGGTCCTGGACTTTTTTTGGTTGGCAGGCTGTTAATTATTGCCTCAATTTCAGAACCTGTTATTGGTCTATTCAGAGATTGAACTTCTTCCTGGTTTAGTCTTGGGAGAGTGTATGTGTCCAGGAATTTATCCATTTCTTGTAGAATTTCTAGTTTATTTGCATAGTATTCTCTGATGGTTAGTTTGTATTTCTGTGGGATAAGTGGTGATATCTTCTTGATCATTTTTTATTGCGTCTATTTGATGTGTCTCTCTTTTCTTATTCATCTTGCTAGCGGCCTATCAATTTTGTTGATCTTTTCAAACAACCAGCTCCTGTATTCATTGATTTTTTGAAGAGTTTTTTGTGTCTCATCTCCTTCAGTTCTGCTCTGATCTTAGTTATTTATTGCCTTCTGCTAGCTTTTGAATTTGTTTGCTCTTGTTTCTCTAGTTCTTTTAATTGTGATGTTAGGGTGTCAATTTTAGATTTTTCCTGCTTTCTCTTGTGGGCATTTAGTGCTATAAATTTCCTTCTACACACTGCTTTGAATGTGTCCCAGAGATTCTGGTATATTGTGTCTTTGTTCTCATTGGTTTCAAAGAACATCTTTATTTCTGCCTTCATTTCGTTATGAACCCAGTAGTCATTCAGGAGCAGGTTGTTCAGTTTCTGTGTAGTAGTGCGGTTTTGAGTGAGATTCTTAATCCTGAGTTCTAATTTGATTGCACTGTGGTCTGAGAGACAGTTTGTTGTGTTTTCTGTTCTTTTACATTTGCTGAGGAGTGTTTTACTACCAATTATGTGGTCAATTTTAGAATAAGTGTGATGTGGTGCTGAGAAGAATGTATATTCTGTTGATTTGGGGTGTAGAGTTCTGTAGATGTCCATTAGTTCCACTTGGTGCAGAGCTGAGTTCAAGCCCTGGATATCCTCATTAACCTTCTGTCTTGTTGATCTGTCTAACATTGACAGCAGGGTTTTAAAGTCTTCCATTGTTATTGTGTGGGAGTGTAAGTCTCTTTGTAGTCTCTAAGGACTTGCTTTATGAATCTGGGTGCTCCTGTATTGGTGCATATATATTTAGAATAGTTAGCTCTTCTTGGTGAATTGATCCCTTTAGCATTATGTAGTGGCCTTCTTTGTCTCTTTTGATCTTTTTGGTTTAAAGTCTGTTTTATCAGAGACTAGGATTGCAACACCTGCTTTTTTTTGCTTTCCATTTGCTTGGTAGATCTTCCTCTATCCTTTATTTTGAGCCTATGTGCATCTGTGCATTTGAGATGGAGCTTCTGAATACAGCACACCAATGGGTCTTCACTCTTTATCCAGTTTGCCAGTGTGTCTTTTAATTGGAGCATTTAGCCCATTTACATTCAAGGGTAATATTATTATGTTTGAATTTAATCCTGTTATTATGATGTTAGCTGGTTACTTTGCCTGTTAGTCGATGCATTTTCTTCATAGCATCAATGGTCTTTACCATTTGGCATGTTTTTGCAGTGGCTGGTACCAGCTGTTCCTTTCCATGTTTAGTGTTTCTTTCAGGAGCTCTTGTAAGGCAGGCCTGGTGGTGACAAAGTCTCTCAGCCTTTGCTTGTCTGTAAAGGATTTTATTTCTCCTTCACTTATGAAGCTTAGTTTGGCTGGGTATGAAATTCTGGGTTGAAAATTATTTTCTTTAAGTATGTTGAATATTAGCCCCCACTCTCTTCTGGCTTGTAGGGTTTCTGCCGAGAGATCCACTATTAGGCTGATGGGCTTCCCTTTCTGGGTAACCCACCTTTCTCTCTGGCTGCACTTAACATTTTTTCCCTTCATTTCAACCTTGGTGAATCTGACAATTATGTGTCTTGGGGTTGCACTTCTCAAGGAGTATCTTTGTGGTGTTCTCTGTGTTTCCTGAATTTGAATATTGGCCTGCCTTGCTAGGTTAGGGAAGTTCTCCTGGATAATATCCTGAAGAGTGTTTTCTAACTTGGTTCCATTCTCCCCATCAGTTTCAGGTACACAAATCAAATGTATATTTGGTCTTTTCACATAGTCCCGTGTTTCTTGGAGGCTTTGTTCATTTCTTTTCACTCTTTTTTATCTAATCTTGTCTTCTCACTTTATTTCATTAATTTGATCTTCAATCACTGTATCCTTTCTTCCACTTGATCGAATTGGCTATTGAAGCTTGTGCATGCATCACAAAGTTTTCGGGCCATGGTTTTCAGCTCCATCAGGTCATTTAAGAGCTTTTCTATACTGTTTATTCTAGTTAGCCATTCATCTAACCTTTTTGAAAGGTTTTTAGCTTCCTTGCAATGGGTTAGAACATACTCCTTTAGCTCGGAGAAGTTTGTTATTACCAAACTTCTGAAGCCTACTTCTGTCAACTTGTCAAACTCATCATCTGTCCAGTTTTACTCTGTTGCTGGCGAGGAGCTGTGATCCTATAGGGGAGAAGAGGTGCTCTGTTTTTTGGAATTTTCAGCTTTTCTTCTCGGGTTTCTCCCCATCTTTGTGGTTTTATCTACCTTTGGTCTTTGATGTTGGTGACCTACAGATGGGGTTTTGTTGTCGATGTCCTTTTTGTTGATGTTGATGCTATTCCTTTCTGTTTGTTAGTTTTCCTTCTAACAGACCTTTCAGCTGCAGGTCTGTTGGAGTTTGCTGGAGGTCCACTCCAGGCCCTGTTTGCCTAGGTATCACCGGCAGAGGCTGCAGAACAGCAAATATTGCTGCCTGATCCTTCCTCTGGAAGCTTCATCCCGGAGGGGCACTCGCCTGTTTGAGGTGTCTGTCAGCCCCTACTGGGAGGTGTTTCCCAGTCAGGCTACACAGGGGTCAGGGACTCACTTTAGGAGGCAGTCTGTCCGTTCTCGGAGCTTGAATGCCATGCTGAGAGAACCACTGCTCTCTTCAGAGCTGTCAGACAGGGATGTTTAAGTCTGCAGAAGCTGTCTGCTGCCTTTTAATCTGCTATGACCTGCCCCCAGAGGTGGAATCTATAGAGGCAGGCGGCCTTGCTGAGCTGCAGTGGGCTCTGCCCAGTTCGTGCTTCCTGGCCTCTTTGTTTACACTGTGAGCTACTCAAGCCCCATCAATGGCAGGCACCCCTTCCCCCTTCAAGCTGTAGCATCACAGGTCGATCTCAGACTGCTGTGCTAGCAGTGAGCGAAGCTCCCTGGGTGTGGGACCCACCGAGCCAGGCACGGGAGGGTATCTCCTGGTTTGCTGGTTGCAAAGACTGTGGGAAATGCTCAGTATTTGGTCAGGAGTGTACCATTTCTCCAGGTACAGTCTGTCGCAGCTTCCCTTGGCTAGGAAAGGGAAATCCCCCAACCCCTTGTGCTTCGTGGGTGAGGCAACACCCCACCCTGCTTCAGCTTGCCCTCCGTGGGCTGCACCCACTGTCCAACCAGTCCCAATGATATGAACCAGGTGCCTCAGTTGGAAATGCAGAAATCACCTGTCTTCTGTGTCGATCTTGCTGGGAGCTGCAGACCGGAGCTATTCCTATTCGGCTGTCTTAGAAGTGACCACCTATTTAATTTCCATGGATTAATATTTGTAGAGTTTCCAGAGTTTCTCCTGTTATTGAATTTTAGTTTTATTCCATTGTTGTTTAAGAAGATATTTTATATAATTTCCATTTGAAAATATTTACTGAAATTTGGCCGGGCGTGGTGGCTCATGCCTGTAATCCCAGCACTTTGGGAGGCCGAGGCAGGTGGATCATGAGGTCAGGAGATTGAGACCATCCTGGCTAACATGGTGGAACCCTGTCTCTACGAAAAATACAAAAAAATTAGCCGGGTCTGGTGGCGGGCACCTGTAGTCCCAGCTACTCGGGAGGCTGAGGCAGGAGAATGGTGTGAACCCGGGAGGCGGAGCTTGCAGTGAGCCGAGATCGTGCCACTGCACTCCAGCATGGGGGACAGAGTGAGACTCTGTCTCAAAAAAAAAAAAGAAAATATTTGCTGAAGTTCCTGTTGTGGCCTAATATGTGTTCTATCCTGGAGAATGTTCCATGTGCTAATTAGAAGAATATGTATTCTACAGCTGTTGGATGAAATATTGTATAAATGTCTTTGAAGTTTATTTGGTCTACAGTGCAATTTAAGTCTTTTGTTTCTTTGTTGAATTTAAGTCTAAATGATCTGTCCTATGCTGAAAGTGAGGTATTTAAGTTCTCAACTATTATTGTACTAGAGTCTATGTCTCTCTTTAACTCCAATAATATTTGCTTTACATATCTGTGTTCTTTGTTGGTAGGTGCAAATACTTTGAAAGGTATTTTGTCTTCTTGCTGAATTGACCCCTTTATCATTATATAATAAACTTAATCTTTTTTCTTGTTTTTTGACGTAAAGTCTATTTTGTCTGATATAAGTACGGGTATTCCTGCATATTTTTTATTTCTATTGGCATGGAATATCTTTTTTTTCCATTTCTTTACTTTCAATCTATGTGTGACTTAATAGGGATGTAAGGGTTTGGTAAGCAGTGTATAGTTGTTGTTTTTTTTTTTATTTTTAATCTGCTGTATCAGTGTTTATCTTTTAATTGGGAAATTTAAACCATTTACATTCAAGGTTTTTAATTGATAGATGAGGACTTACTCTTGCCATTTTTAATAATTGTTTTCTGATTGTTTTCTATATCCTTTGTTCCTTTCTTCGCCTCTTATTGTTTATCTTTGCAATCTGTTGTTTATCTTTAGTAATATTTTATTTCTTGTTCTTTCTCACTCGCATATCTGCTCTACCAATGAGTTTTATACTTTCATATATTCTCATGATGGTAGATGTTATCCTTTAGTTCCAGATGTAGGTCTCTGCTAAACATCTCTTATAGGGTCAATATAGTTGTGATGAATTCCCTTGGTTTTTGCTTGTCTTGGAAATACTTTATTTCATCTTTGTTTCTGAAAGATAACTTTGTTGGGTAAAGTATTTTTAAGTAGCATTTTTTTCTTTTGATGTGACTATATAATCCCATTTTCTCCTGGCCTATAAGGCTTCTGGTGAGAAATCTGCTGTTAATATGTTGGGAATTCCCTTATATGTGATTTTATGCTTTTCTCCTGCTTTTTTAAAAATATAATTCTCTCTCTTTTCCTTTGACTTGACAGTTTGACTATAATGTGCCTTGGAAAGGATCTGTTTGGGTTGAGTCTTTTGGGAACTTTTAGCTTCTTGAATATTGATGTCTATATGTCTTCCAAGAATTAAGAAATTTTCCCCTATTTCATTATTTTATTAGTTTTTTAAAAAAATTATTTTAGGTTCAGGAGTACATGTGCAGGTTTGTTACATGGGGGAAATTGCATGTTGCTAAGGTTTGGTGTACAAGTGATTCCATCACCCAGGTAGTGCACATAGTACCTCATAGTTTTTCAACTCTTGCCTCCATTCCTATCCTCTACCCTCTAGTAGTCCTAGTGTCTATTGTTCTCATCTTTATGCCCCTGTGTACTCAATGTTTAGCTCCCACTTACAAGTGAAAACATTTAGTATTTGGTTTTCTGTTCCTGTGTTAATTCACTTAGGCTAATGGTCTCCAGTTGCATCCATGTTGCTGAAAATAACATGATTTCATCATTTTTTATGACTGCACAGTATTCCATGGCATATATGTACAAATACTTTCCCTATCTAGTTCATATTTATGGGCATCTGGGTTGACACAATGTGTTTGCTATTGTGCATATTGCTGCAATAAACATATGAGTGCCTGTGTCTTTTTGGTAGAATGTTTTATTTTCCTTTCAATATATACCCAGTAATGGGATTGCTGACTTGAATGGTATACCTAAATTCCAGGATAACTGGCTCACCATATGCAGAAGAATGAAACTGGACCCCTACCTTTCATCCTATATGAAAATTAGCTGAAGATAGATTAAAACTTAAATGTAAGACCTAAAACTATAAGAATCCTAGTGAAAACCTAGGAAAGACCATTCGGGGTATCAGCCTTGGGAAAGAATCTATGACTAAGTCCCCAAAAGCAATTGCAACAAAAACAAAAATTGACAAGGTAGACCTAAATAAATTATCAATAGAGTAAACAGATAACCTAGAGAATAGGGGAAAATATTTGCAAACTCTGCATCTGCCAAAGATTTAATATTCAGAATCTATAAGGAACTTAAACAAATCAACAAGCGAAAAGCAACCCCATTAAAATGAGCAAAGGATATGAAGACACCTTCTCGTAAGAAGACATAGCTGTGGCCAACAAATATGTGAAAAAAAATGCTCAACATCAGTAATCATTAGAGAAATGCAAATCAAAACCCCAGTGAGGTACCATTTCACAGCAGTCAAAATGGCCATTATTAAAGATAAAAAATAACATATATTGGTAAGATTGCAGAGAAAAGGGAACACTTATACCCTGTTGGTGGAAATGTAAATTAGTTCAACCACTGTGAAAAGCAGTTTGGAGATTTATCATAAAATAGATTTTTAATGCCTTTTCTCATCTCTTTTCTGAAATTCCAAAAATTGTATTATTTGTTCACTTGATGGTGTCCCATATGTCATGTAGACGTTCTTCATTCTTTTTTATTCTTTTTTTGTTTTGTCTGATTGTGCTATTTCAAAAGACCTCTCTTCAAGTTCTGAAATTACTTCACCTGCTTGATCTAGTCTCTTGTTAACATCTTGATGGTATTTTTATTTTATAGAATTCTTTAGTTCCACTATTTTTGTTTAGTTGTTTCTTACAATATCCCTTTGTTGAATTTCTTATTCAGATCATGAATTGTTTTCCTGATTATATGTTCTGTATTCCCTCGTGTCTCATTGAGTTTCCTTAATGTCATTCTTTTGAATTCCTTTTCAGTTCAGACATTTCATAGATTTCCTTTTATTTGGGGTATGTTATGGGAAAATTATTATTTTCCTTCGAAAGTGTTAGGTTCCTTACTTTTTTATGTTTCCTGTGTTTTTAAGTTAATATTTGTGCATCTAGCTTAACAGTAATTTCTTCCAAATTTATGATATAGCTTTCCTATTAAATTATTTTCATAGAAAAATACTTTTTTCTGTTGATGGATCTATAATGTTGGCTGGGTAGTGTACTTTGGTTTGGTTCGGGGTGAGCACCATAGTATGGTCTCCATATGATTTCTTTGGCTGTGATCAACATCAGTATTGTCCTTGAGCTCCTCAGTGGCTTAGGCTGTGGTTGTTTGTGGAGGCTGTGGTGAGGCTTTGCTGAAGACTAGTACACTGGGTGGGCTGGTCCTGAGGTCTCCCAGCAGCATTCACATGTGTCAGTGGTGGCAGGAGTGGGCCCTGGTCACTTCTTATGACAACTTTTTATCTCATATGAGCAGAAGAGAACTTAATATTCACTAGCTATGTGTCTCCCTGTTAAATGAGTATTCATCTACCAAAGTGGCCTAGTTGTTATCTATGAAATAGTCACCGACCTCTCCCAGAGAGGAAGATAACTCCCTTCCCTGAGCAATTCTTTTTTTTTTTTTTTTTTTGAGATGGTGTCTTGCTCTGTCACTAGGCTAGGGTGCAGTGGCATGATCTCGGCTCACTGCAACCTCCGCCTCCCGGGTTCAAGCAATTCTCCTGTCTCAGCCTCCTGAGTAGCTGAGACTATAGGTGTGTGCCTAACACATCCAGCTAATTTTTGTATTTTTAGTAGAGACGGGGTTTTACCATGTTGGCCAGGACGGTCTCAATTTCTTGACCTCGTGATTCGCCCCCCTCAGCCTCCCAGAGTGCTAGGATTACAGGCATGAGCCACCGTGCTCTGGGCACATTATTTATTGGCATATCTGTGCTCATTTCTTTAGTGTGATGACATGGAGAATAGCTTTTATGGCTAAGAAGTTTGTATCTCTAGGTGCTATTATGGCTCCTGTAAGAGTAAAGTCCTCAAAAAATGCTACAGGACTTGATTAGAATAATAACTTAGAAATATTCCAATCCTGACATCCATCCATTTGAGACTCATATGAAAATAGAAGGCTCATGTGCTCCAATTTATCCTGCCTGTTTGTGTATTTCTGCTTTTTAAGTTTACCTGGACCTGGTGTTAACTTTGGCATTTCATCTCTTATGCACCTAGTTATGACTAAGTTATGACTAGTTATGACTAAGTTATGAGTAGTTATGACTAAGTTAATGTGTTGTCACTTTTTAAGACTGGGAAATTTTCCAGTTCACTCTTAGTCTATCCTGAATTATTAAATATTTGGAATTATTAAATATCAGAATATTGACAATAATTTGATATTTCTAGTTAATACAAATTATTAGAGATGAGTAATATTTATTTTGTGAAGACTATATAAAAGATCTCATTCAGAGAAAAATTTTAAGGTTGTAGCTTGAGTCTTGAGAACAGATATCAATATTACCACATGAAAAAATCCTAATATGTTTATGCTAAGGACAATATTAGAGTGTAAAAACTGCCCTAAGGGAAATTAAGTCCTCAGACAATAACCACCTCAGTGGAATACATTTAGCAGAATATATACCAGTGATTTAAATGCTTATGGAAATGCAATAGTTCACACATTAAGCATCTATGTTTGCATGTCTGCTTAAGTAGATGATATCCAATATTTAAAATGCTGCATTCAAAAATATAAATACATTGTTGTTCTAATTGATGAAAACAGAAAGCATTCTAACATTGTAATTAGTATAGAAACAGCACATTATGATTAATTTAATAAAATTAATATTTTGCTTCCTCATCTTTCTGTTTCCTCCTCTCCTCTCTCCTCTTTCTTTTATTTTTTCCTTCCTTCCCTCTCCTCTCCTCTCCTGTTCTTTTCTTTTCTTTCTTTTTCTTTTTCCTTCTTTTCTTTTCTTTCTTCTTTCCAGGATCTTGCAGTGTCTCTTAGCCTGGAGTACAGTGGTGTGACTGTAGCCTTGAATTCCTGGGCTCAAGCAATCCTCCCGCCTCAGCCTCCCGAGTAACTGGGACTACACGTGTGTGCCACCAAAACCAGCTGTCTTTTTTTAAATAGAGATGGGAGTCTTGCTATGTTGCTGAAGCTGGTCTCAGACTCCTGGCCTCAAGTGGTCCTCCCACCTTGGTGCTTCCTTATTTTTCTGTCAAGAAAATATTCTCAAAATGCAGAGAGTAAAATAGTTACTCATTTTAAGAGAAATTAAAATCAATTTAGATGTCTTATATTAGCAGTGTGTATGTAAATGCAAATTAAATCCTAGGGCAGAGAATAATGCATATATGCATATAGATATATAAAGATTTTGATATTTGGTAAATGAATGTAAATAGTAGAGACGACTTAAGGCTGGAAAACTGGCAAATGTTCAAGTACTTTTCAAAAAAGGGAAATGGGCAAATCCTGAATATTTCATTTTGGTACGCTTATATCAATTCATGGAAAAACTCTAGGTCAGATGATTTGTGAGCTTTAATATAAGTTAAGTTTCACTAGTAGGAGCAAGAGTCTTTAAGAAAATTTATATCCATGTAATACCATTTTCTTTCTGGACAATTGTTTGCCTATATTAACTCAAGGGAATGCCATAGAGGGTTAGTTTTTCCCTGATATAAGTATGGACAAGATGTTAAAATGTGACCTATATAATGAAGTAAAACAACTATGATCGGTGTTACTAGTAAAACAAAGTTAATTCAATCAATGAAGTTGAATCCTCAGTAGTTGCAGAAATGGATCCTTCCGACTCTAAATGGTAAGTGCCTGTGTTTGGGGATGGGAGAGATGACACCATGCCTTAAAAGTATATCGTTCTCTAGAATGATGATTTTGGTTAAGATCATCAGAGGAAGAGAGGTCTCATGATGGTTTGGTACATATTATCATTATTCTCAGTCTCACTGCTGTCCAGAACAATTAAGATAAATGGGAAATTCAGAAGAAGTGGGTGGAATTTTTGGATATTAGTGAGGGACAAAAGAATCCCTCCTCCACAGCCCTGCCTCTTTTCCAAAATGAGAACATCTCAGACAATGAAACTTGGATTGAGCTAATGTGGACCTGGAGGGCTAGGAATATTTGTTAATACCTCTCAAGGTTGTTTCAGAATGGATTGTTTTGCTAGTGGAATGCTGAAATAGATCAGAGGTCTTCTAATTTTCATAAGTACTAAAAATAATATGTATCAGCCTGAAAAAGCATGACTGAGAAATTAAGCCTGATTTCTTTTCCCACTTCCTTCTACGATTGCCCTTCTCTTACACTTCACAAAAAAGGGGCATCCTTTTCTTCTATCTTGTGTTGCAACCATTGTTGAATTGTCTTATAGTGTAGAAACCCTACTCTCAGTATTAAATAAAATGACAATTACAAACGTGAGTGTTTGCTTTGAGGAAGTACATAAGTCTAATAACAATACCAAATCCATTTGCACGTCATGATTTCGAATTTTTTGCTTTCAACAAACTTGGAGGAGTATCTAATTGATTCGGTATTTGGTAGTGGATCAAATAGAATAGAATTGATAGTGAACCACTATTTTGTCTGGCAATAAGTAATCTTCATCCTCAGATATATAAATTAATCAGGGGAATAGAACTGCTTCCATCTCATTAAGAAATGAGTTTCCAATAAAATTTTGCTCTTTATGTATAAAATTTATTAAAAACGTAATATATTTATGTTGTTTTACTCATTT